>NT_187645.1:0-170680 GCF_000001405.40 Homo sapiens
TCTACTCTCCCATGCTTGCCTCGGCAGCACATATACTAAAATTGGAACGATACAGAGAAAACTAGCATGGCCCCTGCGCAAGAATGACACGCAAATTCGTGAAGTGTTCCATATTTAAAAAAAAAAATCTACTTTCCTGGTAAATTTCAAGTATAGAGTACAGTATTGTCAACCATAGTGGCAAAGCTGTACAAGAGATCTTCAGACCCATTCCTCCTGAATACCTGATAGTTTGTATCCTTTGATCAACATCTCCCAATTCCCTCCCCCACACTGTCCCTGTAGTTCTAGTGAGTTCCCCAGACTCTGATGTCTCAATTTCATTCAGTCACTTTCCTCCAGATACATCTACCCATTCCTACTGCATCTTAGTATCCTGAGCCTTGGGGGCAGTTTCTGTGCCAAGTGGAAATGTGGAAATGAGATATTACGAAGAAAAATCTTTGCCCACCTAGACAGGGATCTGATGTTTTCCAAGATGACACATGATTACATGTTGAAATGATAATATTTTGAGTCTACTTGTATAATAAAATAATATTTTGGATCTATTAGGTTAATATTTTGGGTCTGTTGGGTTAATAATATTTTGGGTCCATTGGGTTAACTTAAATTAATTTTATCTGTTTCTTGTTAGCTTTTTAATTTGGATACTAGCAAGTTTGAAAGAATGCATGTGGTTTGCATTATGTTTCTATAGGACAGAACTTACCTGTAGATGTAAGGGAGTCACAACAAAATTACAAGCATTGTTTTTGGTGGAAATGAGAAAAATGATTACAAATTTACATGGAAAAGCAAATAGCCAATAATAATAATAATGGCAATCTTAAAGAGGAAGGAGAAATTAGAGGATTCAGGCTGCCAAATTTTAAGGGGTTCTATAAGGCCACATAAAGTGCAGCATCCTCATGAGAGTGGACACAGAGAGCCACTGAGCAGAAAAGAGTGTGTAAAATACATCTGTGTACACACAGTCCTTTTATAGTTGACAGAGGCTGCCATGCGGATTAAGGTGGAATAGAATGTCTTCTCAGTAAATAACATTGGACCAGAGGGTTACAAGCAGGAAAAAATAAATCTAAGCTTATTTTCACACCATAAAAACACTGCTAATTTTTTATCTTATTATCATACATTTTGATGATTTATTTATAAAATTGATGAATGAAAATTATATACAGTTGTCCTTCACTATTCATGGGTGATTGGTTCCAGGAAACCCCCCTCCCTACCAGACACCAAAATCTGCAGATGCTCAAGCCTGTTGCATGAAATGGCACAGCGTTTGCATATAACCCATGCACATCCTCCTGTATACATGAAATCATCTCTAGATTACTTATAATTCCTGATACAGCCTACACACCACCTCACTTGTGTCCACACAATATAGTATTTTTGCTTTTTGGAACTTTGTGGATTTTTTCTCTGAATATTTTTGATTTATATTTGGTTCAATAAACACCTGTAAACCCCACAGATATGGAGGAGCGACTGTATATTTATAGTATGAAAGATGATGTGTTGACATGTGTCCCTGTGGAGATGAGACTAACAAGGCCTATGACTCTACAAATGTTTCATCTTGGAATGACTCTGCCAGCTTTCCAGGTCTGCAGAGAGTAAGAATATCACTTGTTCATGTGATTCACGATCCTTGGAACCTCCTATGTGCTGCATCTTTGGATGGAAATTGGAGTCCCAGAGACAAATGAGGCTCCACCCTGCTTCCAGAAGCTCAGAGTCCAGGGCTGAGAACCCAGTAGAGAACATATCAGGTTATATGGACATAGTAATGATAACACTGGAAACTTTTGGCGAATAAAGAGTCACATTATCGAAACCATGAGGGCAGACATGTTTATTTGAAGAGGAGAGAGCTACACTGAAGTTATAAAAAAAATTTATAAATTTTACTGATGACAGAAGGCTGAAAGATAGTCTGAGGGGAGGTGGAACAGCATGAGGGAAGGTGGAACAGCAAGTGTGTAAGTGCCGTGTTAAGAGGGAGCCTCTTGCATGTTTGGAATTGTGAGTTCCTCAGTGTGATTGCAGCCTCAAGTAGGACTAGGAAGTAAGCCAGTTAGGTTGGAGAGGTGGGCAGGGGTCAAGTGAAATAGATACTTGTGGGCTAAGCAAAGGAGTGTGTTTTCTCTGCAGCAGGCAGTGGCGACCTTAGGCATTTGTAAGCAAGAGAGAGGCATGTTCAGATTCGTGGTGTGAGGAAGAGCGATCCCCTAAGATGCAGACTGATGCCTTCAGATTCCAGCTGCTGGTTCATTGGATCTGGCAACCTGGTTTTGAGACAGGGCTGTTGTCTCCCTAGAAAACCCCCTCAAGACCTGACTGTGGTGCTCGTGGGCAGGAGACAACTTTGGATCTGGGCTCAGCATTTGGAAGTTCCGTGTACACGCTGGTATCTGTTAGGGGTGTCTTGGGCCTCTGAGAAGGGCGACTGATTTTTCTCTGTATGAAAACGCAGTGATCCAACTGTGCGTACGTCACCTCCTGAGGGTCTTGTTCATCAGAGTCCTGGAGAGAGGGAAATGCTGAGTGAGGGAGGGTGCTCACATTTTTCAGGACTATTAGGGATAAGACTGTATCCGTGAGGCTGGGCCGAGGAGGACCTACCTGCCTATTCACTGTTCTGTCCCCCGCAGGCTCTTGGTCCATTACAGCAGCATCTGTAGGAGACGGAAGTCATCAAAACCGCTTGGAGGGCCCTTCTGGGTCCTCATTTCATGGGCAGACACCAACCCACAGGGGGAGGCTGTAGGTGCCTGAGGCTCTTCAGCTGCCAACATCCAGACTCAGACATTCTATCTCTCTGAGTTCAAGACCCCATCCCATGAAGTGCTCTCAATTGGCATCCCATTGATTCTGTCTCCCACTTTCTGCCTGTCATGGAAGCTTCTGGATGTCAGTGGCTGCAGGGGATGTGAGGATACAGTTCAGAACCAGGCAATGGTCTGTGAGCTGAAGGCAGGGGCAGGTTGTCTGGTGCTCTCTCTAGAAAGCCCTGCCTCTGTGGCTCCTCCCTTGGGCCAGGGACCATCCTGCCAGTGAGGAACACACACCCGCGTGCTCCCATCCTGCTTCCCCACATGGCCCTGAGCTCTCTGGCCTCTGCTTCGTGAGACTTACTCTTTTTGTTGGAGCACCAGCGATAAAGGAGAAAGAAGAGGAGGAGGATGAAGAGGAAGATGACCACTGAGGTCCCAATCAGAACATGCAGGTGTCTGCAGATACCTGGAGGAAGATGGGAATCCAATAAGAAGCTAATCATAGCAGTTCCTCTTTATGGATTGTCTCATTTCTTGATTGACAGGTAACCACATGGAACATCTCCTTAGGACAAGCAGCCTGATGGCGGGAGACCCAGCTTTCTCCTGCTTTCTCAGTTACAGCTCTCATAGAAACCATAGAACATGCTGAGGATACAGCTGCTTTAGTTTAGATGTTTGACCCTTTGAAACCTCACACTGAAATATTGAAATTTAACCCCCAGTGTGGAAGTTTGGGCCTATGGGAAGGTGTTTGAGTCATGGAGGTGGATCCATCATGAATAGATTAATGCTGCCCCACATGATGGGGTTAGCAAGTTCCCCCTCTATTAGTTCCCGGAGGGCTGGTTGTTAAAAAGAGCTTGGAAGCTCCATCGCTCGCCCTCCCCCTTGCTCCCTCTCTTGCCATGTGATCTCTGTGGTCTCTGCACAGACAGACCCTCCTTCCCTTCTGCCAGAGTGGGAGCAGCCTGAGGCCGTCACAGGAAACAGATGCTGGTGCCATGCTTCCAGTACAGCCTGCAGAACTGTGAGGCAAACAAATCTGTTTTCTCTAGAAGTTGCCCAGGCTCTGGGATGCAAGGCTGGTTCAATATATGCAAATCAATAAATGTAATCCATCATATAAACAGAACCAAAGACAAAAACCGGACGATTATCTCAATAGATGCAGAAAAGGCCTTTGACAAAATTCAACAACGCTTCATGCTAAAAACTCTCAATAAATTAGGCATTGATGGGACGTATCTCAAAATAATAAGAGCCATCTATAACAAACCCACAGCCAGTATCATACTGAATGGGCAAAAACTGGAAGCATTCCCTTTGAAAACTGGCACAAGACAGGGATGCCCTCTTTCACCACTCCTATTCAACATAGTGTTGGAAGTTCTGGCCAGGGCAATTAGGCAGGAGAAGGAAATAAAGGGTATTCAATTAGGAAAAGAGGAAGTCAAATTGTCCCTGTTTGCAGATGACATGATTGTATATCTAGAAAACCCCATTGTCTCAGCCCAAAATCTCCTTAAGCTGATAAGCAGCTTCTACAAAGTCTCAGGATACAGAATCAATGTACAAAAATCACAAGCATTCTTATACACCAATAACAGACAAACAGAGAGCCAAATCATGAGTGAACTCCCATTCACAATTGCTTCAAAGAGAATAAAATACCTAGGAATCCAACTTACAAGGGATATGAAGGACCTCTTCAAGGAGAACTACAAACCACTGCTCAATGAAATAAAAGAGGATACAAACAAATGGAAGAACATTCCATGCTCATGGGTAGGAAGAATCAAGATCGTGAAAATGGCCATACTGCCCAAGGTAATTTATAGATTCAATGCCATCCCCATCAAGCTACCAATGACTTTCTTCACAGAATTGGAAAAAACTACCTTAAAGTTCATATGGAATCAAAAAAGAGCCTGCATTGCCAAGTCAATCCTAAGCCAAAAGAACAAAGCTGGAGGCATCATGCTGCCTGACTTCAAACTATACTACAAGGCTACAGTAACCAAAACAGCATGGTACTGGTACCAAAACAGAGATATAGATCAATGGAACAGAATAGAGCCCTCAGAAATAATGCCACATATCTACAACTATGTGATCTTTGACACACCTGAGAAAAACAAGCAATGGGGAAAGGATTCCCTATTTAATAAATGGTGCTGGGAAAACTGGCTAGCCATAGGTAGAAAGCTGAAACTGGATCCCTTCCTTACACCTTATACAAAAATTAATTTGAGATGGATTAAAGACTTAAACGTTAGACCTAAAACCATAAAAACCCTAGAAGAAAACCTAGGCATTACCATTCAGGACATAGGCATGGACAAGGACTTCATGTCTAAAACACCAAAAGCAACGGCAACAAAAGCCAAAATTGACAAACGGGATCTAATTAAACTAAAGAGCTTCTGCACAGCAAAAGAAACTACCATCAGAGTGAACAGACAACCTACAAAATGGGAGAAAATTTTCGCAACCTACTCATCTGACAAAGGGCTAATATCCAGAATCTACAATGAACTCAAACAAATTTACAAGAAAAAAACAAACAATCCTATCAAAAAGTGGGCAAAGGACATGAACAGACACTTCTCAAAAGAAGACATTTATGCAGCCAAAAAACACATGAAAAAATGCTCACCATGACTGGCCATCAGAGAAATGCAAATCAAAACCACAATGAGATACCATCTCACACCAGTTAGAATGGCGATCATTAAAAAGTCGGGAAACAACAGGTGCTGGAGAGGATGTGGAGAAATAGGAACACTTTTACACTGTTGGTGGGACTGTAAACTAGTTCAACCATTGTGGAAGTCAGTGTGGCGATTCCTCAGGGATCTAGAGCTTGAAATACCATTTGACCCAGCCATCCCATTACTGGGTATAAACCCAAAGGACTATAAATCATGCTGCTATAAAGACACATGGACACGTATGTTTATTGTGGCACTATTCACAATAGCAAAGACTTGGAACCAACCCAAATGTCCAACAATGATAGACTGGATGAAGAAAATGTGGCACATATACACCATGGAATACTATGCAGCCATAAAAAATGATGAGTTCATGTCCTTTGCAGGGACATGGATGAAATTGGAAATCATCATTCTCAGTAGACTATCACAAGGACAAAAATCCAAACACTGCATGTTCTCACTTATAGGTGGGAATTGAACAATGAGAACACATGGACACAGGAAGGGGAACATCACACTCTGGGGACTGTTGTGGGGTGGGGGGAGGGGGGAGGGATAGCATTAGGAGATATACCTAATGCTAAATGACGAGTTGATGGGTGCAGCACACCAGCATGGCACATGTATACATATGTAACTAACCTGCACATTGTGCACATGTACCCTAAAACTTAAAGTATAATAATAATAAAAATTTAAAAAAAAAGCTCATCAGAAGCACTATACAAAAAAAAAAAAAAAAAAAAGAAGTAACCCAGGCTCAAGTGTTCTTTTATAGCAACAAAAATGGACTAAGACAGCAACGTCCTGAGATCAGGAGGAACGTCTCAGAACAGCCTGTGCTGTCTTCCTGTTCTTCCTGGAGGAGGACGTCATGCAGTGCTTTAGCTGAGTGCTTCCTGTGGCTTCAGGGTACAAAACCCAGGCTGGGCTATTTTCTGGCTTCCCCCAGATACACTGCAAATGAGGTGACTCCATATGTCCCGAGAAGCTTTTCTGAGCCTTGAGGGACTGGCTCACATTGAAATGTAGGCTTCTGTTGTCACTCGCTGCTTATCTGTTAGTAATGAACCTGCCTATGTAACGTATTCTCTGTGTGTTCTGTCTCCCTGGAGTGACGGTGAGTGATAGAAATTTGCATAGGCCCAGGTGCAGTACAGCAGGTGTTTAGAGTCTTCTCTGGAAAGACTGAACTGGGATTGATACACAGTGAATGTGCTTTACAGTTTCTACATCCACAACCCTCTTGACTCAAATTACATTCTCCAAGAAAAGGACACAAAAGTGAAATCAAGATCAAAAAAGCAAAGTAGAATTCTCTTATGTCAAACAGCCAGGAAATAATGATGAAGCCCATGTGAAACGTGCTACTCTTTGTGATCTCGCGAGACACATGTTAGGCTGCTGTTCCACCTGAGAGGCTGGGGGAAAGACCACCCCCTCCACCATCTATTGCTTCAAAACCACCTGTCCTCCTGTGAATTAGTAGGAAAGGGGAGCAGGAGCTAGTGCTGGTGCTGATCTCTGATTCCAAGATCTGAACTCACTCCAAGGAGTATTAGCGTTTACCTCCCCATGATCTATCTGTATCTCCACAGGTGATTGGAAGTAGGGGTGAGGTGGGGGATTTGGGTGAGGGGGCAAGTTTCTTGTGATGAACAGAGCACTTTCCCTATTTCAGGGCCTGTGCTGGTGGGTTCAGGGGGCTTTCATATTTTCCATATGATCTCATGTTCACAGAAAGCCAAATATGGAAGAGGTTTTAGGCTGATTTTCTAATGGATAAGATAAAGGATCAAAGAAGTAATTATAGAGAAATAGAAAAATGATGATTGGAATTCAGGTGCCTGCATCATTTGTGTATATTATTATATTTATGTATTTTTTATTTTTATTTTTTGAGCCAGAGTATCCCTGTGTAGCCCAGGCTGGTGTGCAGTGACGCGATCTCCACTCACTGCAACCTCTGCCTCCAGGGCTGAAGTCATTCTCCTGCTTCCTCCTCCAGAGTAGCTGGGATTACAGTCATGCACCACCATCATGCCTGTTTAATTTTTGTATTTTTAGTAGAGATAGGGTTTCTCCATGTTGGCCAGGCTGGTCTCGAACTCCTGACTTCATGTGATCCACCCGCGTTGGCCTCCTGAAGTGCTGGGTTACAGGCGTGAGCCACCGTTCACAGCCTTGTATATTATGCTATACTAGGTCCCTTCATTTGCACCACCCCTCATCTAGCTCTCCCTCCTCTGCCAGGTATTGATTTAGATGCAGGAGAAATAAATCTCAGAAATAAGTTAGTGAAGCGAGGATTAAACTACCAGGAAAAAATCAAACCCAGCAAGCCTTTCCAGCCAATGATTCTACCTCACAAACATATCTTATACCCATCTACTTCATTCATTTAGTGTCTAAATCAGCACCACATTTCACCAGTGGGGCGGGAATTGCCTTTTCCACGGTCTCCTAGATTCCAGTTACGCACCTGGGCCTCCCTTATTTTCATGTCAGTCATATTAATCATGTAGGGATTCCTGGTTACCCCGAGGTGAGTCCAATGGCTGTGAGTGTCAAACACACACTCCTTGTTGCTCCTTAGTTTCCTGTGTACCCAGTGTGCTCTCCGTCTCTCTACAGTCGTCTTGTCATTCTCCCCACGTCATTCCCAGCATTTGAGGCAGAGCCTCTTCCTTCAACATCAGATTATTTTCACCTTTGTGCCTTCACGGCTGACAGCTGTGTGTGCAAAATCCTTCCGCCCATCTTTCAGGGGTTCAATCCGTGTTTTTCATTAATGTCACAAATATCTGATTAGTGAGAACTTCTCTGTCACCTGAAATCATACACTCAGCATTATCTATTATTGATTTGAAAATTTGGCTTGGCCCCGTGGCTCATGCCTCTTATCCCAGCGTGTTGGGAGGCAGAGGCTATTGGATCACCTGAGGTTGGGAATTTGAGACCAGCCTGGCCAACATGGTGAAACATCCTCTCTACAGAAAATATGCAAAAAGAGTTAGCCGGGCGTGGTGGTTGTGGTCTGTAATCCCAGCTACTGGAGAGGCTGAGGGAGGAGATCAGTTCAGCCCAGGAGGTGGAGGTTGCAGTGAGCCGAGATCATGCCACCGCACTCTAGCCTGGACGACAGAGCAAGGCTCCGTCTCAATAAACAAGTAGGTAAATACATAAATAAATAGATTTCATGCACAGATGCTTCTCAATAGATCATTCATTTATTGGTCCCCTTGTGCCTACATTTTCTGCCCTCCCATTTAACCATCTGCAAGATCAGTGTCCCAAGAACAGAGGCCAAATGCATCTTGTTCACTGTTTGTGGAAGGCAGGAGAATGTTGTCCCACCCCAAAAATGTCCATGTCCTAGCCTCCATAGCTTGTGAATATGTTATTTTACATGAAAGGAGGAATGAAGATTGCAGATGGAATTATGGTTGCTAGTCAGCTGAACTTAAAAGGAGGGTATCCTGGATGATTTCCGGGAGATTATGATGGATTTTCATCTTGGTGAACCCAATAGAATCCCCAAGTTTTCAAAAGAAGGGGAAGAAGGGAGAGCAGCATTCAGAGAAAGAGGTGTGGTAAGGAAGAAGGGTCTGAGTGATGCCATGTGAGATGTGACCAGTCTTTGTGGGCTTTGAGGAAGGAGGAAGGGTACCAGGAGCCAAGGAACATGGGAGCCTCTAGAAGCTGAGAAAAGTGAGAAGCAGATTCTTGCCTGGAACCCTCAGAGGGAAGGCAGCCTTGCTGTCACCTTGATTTTAGCCCAGTGACATGCACGTCATGCTTTGAGCTACAGCACTGTAAGATAATTAAATAACCGTTTTGTTTTCACCCACGAATCTTGTGGAAATTTGTTATGGCAACAATAGGAAAAGCTTCCACACTGCACAGCCTGAGCATGGGGCTGTGGCTGAATGAGTCAGTGAGTCGAAGTGTGCGTGCATGAGCTCTGTTCTCTGTTACGGCAAGGCTCTTGCTCTGCTGAGTCAGCCAGGGTTGCCTGATGACCAACAGTAATTCATTCCTTGGCAAGTGGAACTTCTCTAAAACACCCACCCTCATCAGATGTTCCCTTCCCTTCCCTCTCTCAAGCCCCCGGGAATTTATCCTCCAGTTAGGAATGCAGGCAGAAAAAACACTGCATTTTTCCTGAGAAGGATGTCAGATTGGCAATTATTCTTCTAGCTTGTAGGAGGTCTCACCTGCAGGAAATTAAAGGTAAAGAGACTTCGCTGAGCCCTTTGGTGGCCCTAGATCCCTTTCACTGTTGGAGTGTCTGGAGTTCAGAGATGGTGGAAGACAGGCCCTCATTCACAGAGCTGGGAGGTTTGAGCCAACACTTGCATCCAAGGCTTCCACCTCCCCAGGTTTCCAAAAGCAGAGATAAGAGGGGTCCTTTACTCACCAGATTTGGAGCTTGGTTCTGTGGGTGAAGGCCAACTACTTGAAGGGTTTCCTAGAACACGGGACAGGAGAGATGTGAGGAAATGAGGGTGCTTGTCCTCTACTCAATGGAAATCTTTGAGGTTGGTTCATGGCCAACACTCTGTTATCTAATGTTGGACCCTGGGAGTCTTGGGATCCTTTTCTCCATAATTTTTGTGTGCGATGCCCACTGTCTTGAGACTTGAAGGTATAAAGAGAAAACAGGAGCATCACACTACCTGACTTAGAAATATGTTACAGAGCTGTAGTAAGCAAAACAGCATGACATTGGCATAAAGAAAGGCACATAAAAAATGGAACAGAATGGAGAACACAGATATAATCCATGCATTTACATCCAATGGCTTTCTTTTGTGTGTGTGTGATGGAATCTTGCTCTGTCATGCAGGCTGGAGTGTAGAGGTGCAATCTCAGCTCAATGCAACCTCCACTTCCTGGATTCAAGAAATTCTCTTGCTTCAAACTCCTGAGTAGTGGTATTACAGGCACTGATCACCATGCTCAGCTAATTTTTGTATTTTTAGTAGAGACGAGGTTTCACTCTGTTGGCCAGCCTGGTCTTGAACTCCTGGCTTTAGGTGATCCACCCGCCTCGGCCTCCCAAAGTGCTGGAATTGCAGGTGTGAGCCACCATGCCCAGCCCATTTAATGGACTTTGACAAAGGTGCCGAGAACTTACAATCAAGAAAGGACAGTCTTCAATAAATGGTGTGGGGAAAACTGGATATCTACATGCAGAGGAATAAAACTGCATCTATACCTGTCACCTTACACAAAAATCAAATGAAAATGGATTAAAAACATGAGTCTAAGGCCTGAACCTATGAAACATGTAGAAGAAAATAATGGGGAAGACATTTGTCTGACGAAAGACATTTTGTTTAAAACCTTCAAAACACAAGTAATCAAAGCAAAAAATAGACCATTAGGATTACATCAAACCAAGCAACTTCTGCACCACCAAAGATAAACCAACAAAGTGAAGAGACAACCCACAAAATAGGAGCAAATATTTGCAAACTATTCATCTGAGATGGGATTAATAACTGGAAATATAAGAAGCTCAAACAACTCAATAAAACAATTTAATTAAAAAACGAGCAAAAGACATGAGGAGACATTTCTCCACAAACAAAACATAGAAATGGCGATCACGTATATGAAAAAGTGCTCAGCATCACTCATCATCACAGAAATGTAAATTACAATCGCGATGAGTTTTCATCTCATCCCATTAAAATGCCTTTTAGGCCGGTGGCTCACGCCTGTAATTCCAGCACTTTGGGAGGCGGAGGTGGGCGGATCACCTGAGGTCGGGAGACCAGCCTGACCAACATGGAGAAACTCCCTCTCTACTAAACATACAAAAATTAGCTAGGCGTGGTGGCACATGCCTGTAATCCCAGCTACTTTGGAGGCTGAGGCAGGAGAATCAGTTGAACGCGGGAGGCAGAGGTTGCAGTGAGCCGAGATCACACCCTTGCACTCCAGCCTGGGCGACTATGAGTGAAACTCCATCTCAACATAAATAAATAAATAAATAAATAAAGTAAAATGGCTTTTATCTGCAAGACAGGCAAAACAAATGCTGGCAAGATGGTAGAGAAAGGAGAACCCTGGTACCCTGTTGGTAGGAATGTAAATTAGTACAACTATTATGGAGAAAAGTATGGAAAAACTTTAAAAAACTAAAAGGAGGCTGGGCATAGTGGCTTATGCCTGTAACTTCAGCACTTTGGGAAACCGAGGCAGGCACCTCACTTGAGGTCAGGAGTTTGAGAGCAGCCTGCCCAAAATTGGGATATCCCGTCTGTGCTAAAAAATACAAGAATTAGTCAGGCATGGTGGCGTGCACCTGTAATCACAGCTATTAGGGAGGCTGAGTCAGGAGAATCGTTTGAACCTAGGAAGCAGAGGTTGCAATGAGCCAAGATCGCACCACTTTGACTCCAGCTTGGACTAAGGAGGGAAACTCTTTCTCAAAAAAGAAAAAAAAAAAAGAGAACTTTCATAGTGTCCAGCAATTTCACTACTGGGTTTATATCCAAAGGAAAGGACATCAGTGTATCGAAGTGATATCTGCACTCATATGACTGTTCCAGCACTGTTCACAGTAGCCAAGATGTGGAGTCAACCTACCTGCCTATCAGTGGGTGAATGGATAGAGAACTGTAGTACACACACACGGTGGAGACTACTCATCCATAGAAACAATAACATCCTGTCATTTGCAGCCACATGGATGGAACTGGAGGTCATTACAAAGATTCCCATTTCTCACCACATGCAGGAGATAAAAGGTGGATCTCATGAAGGTAGAGAATAGAATGGTGGATACCAGAGGCCAGGAAGGGAAGGGTGGAGGGTAACAAAAAAAAGAATATAGATGTATTTATTTATTTAGAAACAGAGTCTCTCTCTGTCTCCCAGGCTGCAGTGCAGTGGCATGATCTCGGCTCAGTGCAACCTCTGCCTCCTGGCTTTAAGTGCTTCTCCTGCCTCAGCCTCCCAAGTAGCTAGGACTACAGGTGCATGCCGGCATGCTTGGCTAATTTTTCTTGTCTGTTTAGTAAAGATGAATTTCCCGCATGTTGGCCAGGCTGATCTCGAGTCCCTGATCTTAAATGATCCACCTTTCTTGGCCTCTCAAAGCGCCAAGATTACAACCGTGAACCACCACACCCAGCATATAAAGGTATTTATGACCACTAGATTTTACTTTTAAAAATGGTAAAGTTGGTAAATTATATAGTTACATTTAACCTCAATAAATATTTTTGAAAATGAAAAGAAAAGAGTGTAGGGGTTGCTGGTGATGACATCTCTCTGTGTGGGTGAGAGGCCAGGATGGGCTTCTGGGAAATGGGTAAGGTTGAGGGGCTGAGGGAACCTCTGATCTCCCCAAACTGAGCCCAGTCTCCCCTTCTCTGGGTCTGTCCTGACCGCTTTCTCCATCTGCCTGGGTGCCTGGAGCCCTGACCATGGGCCTCCATGCAGGCCATGCAAGAGGGTTTGGAGGTGCCCTGTCTGCCATCCTGCACCCTGACCCCCCCCTCACACCCAGTCTTCGTGTTCTCTCTGCATCTGTCCATGCTTCTCCCCATCATCGGCAGGAAGCTCCTCAGCTATGGCTCTAGGATCATAAGACATGGGACAGACACGGGTTTTCCTCACCTGTGACAGAAACAAGCAGTGGGTCACTTGAGTTTGACCACACGCAGGGCAGGGCACGGAAAGAGCCGAAGCATCTGTAGGTCCCTCCGTGGGTGGCAGGGCCCAGAGGAAAGTCTGCCTGGAATGTTCTGTTGACCTTGGGCACTGCACGGAGCCTACGTTCATGGGCCTCCCCTTCCCTGGACAGATGGTAGATGTCATAGGAGCTCCAGGAGCTACAGGACAAGGTCACGTTCTCTCCTGCCTGAACCGTGGGGCCCGGCTGGGCTGAGAGAGAAGGTTTCTCATATAGACCTGGAAGGAGAAGAGGCAGTTTCCTCAGGGAGGTTCTTCCTTGTCACAGCTCCCCTCATACCTGAGCTGAGAACTCACTCCCCTGCTCTATGACCTAATGCTCTCTCTCTCTCTCACCCTCCACCCCAACTCTCTTCATGTCTATTTCCTCCTTCCGCCTTCTCTGTCTCTCTAGGTCTCTGACCTCACTTCCCCACCCCTGGGTATGCTTTCCCTTTTTGGATTGTTTTATTCTCTCTGACTCTCCTTGGATTGGTTGACTTGATCTTCCTTTTTCTATAATTCTGAGTCTCTCACTTTCTGTCTTGTTCATAACTTTCTGCATATTTCTATCTATTATCTATCTATTTTGTGTCTATCTACAAATTATCTGTCATCTATATCTATGTATCATTTATCTATCAATTGTCTATCTGTCTATCCATCAATCATCTATGTATTATCTGTATCTATGTATCATCTCTCTCTCTCTCTATTACCTCTCTGTCTGCCTGTCAGTCTCTATGTATCATCTATGTATCTATATATTTATATATGTGTCTTCTATCTATCTATCTTCATCATCATCATCATCATCATCTCTATGTATCATCTATCAATCATCATCTATGTATCTATAACCTATCCATTATCTATCATCTACCTATTTATCATCTATCTATATCTATCTATCCATCTATCATCTGTCTCTCTCCATCTCCTTGTCTTTCTCTGCCTCTCAGTCTCTCTAGTTCTATTTGGAATCTCTGCAATCCATCCCCACATCTTTATCTTTCTCTGTCTTTGTGCCCCTCCCTCAGGGTTCTGATTTTGGGGCTTTTCTCTCCTCCCTTCCAGCATTCTCTCCACTCCTCTGCCCTCTTTTCTTTCTTTTTGTGTGTCTGTGAGTCTCTCAATCCCCTTCCTCTGGCTCATTCTCTGTGTGTTTATGCCTTTGCTTTTTGAAGTCCCTGATTTATCTCTGTGTCTCTCAGTGATCCTATTATATGTAGGATTATTTGGAATATGAGCCTCAGAATCTAGTCTGGGGACACCAAGTACACACAGTATTTAGGGGTTGGTGTTCTGGGGCCATGATATCCTGGGATAATTATGGCTCCACTGCATGGAAGGCAGAGGTGTCAGAATAAACATGGCATCTGTAGATGCCACAAGGCCTGAGGCCACAGGGCCCAACTCAGGTCAGAAATATGGGTGTCCTTGGGTTCTCCTCGTAGAAGCACTTTGTGGAGACAAAACAGAAATGAAACTTCTAACCTGTGCCAGGTCTCTGAGCAAAGTCAGCATGGAAGGACACTTCTCTCTGGCACATGTCTGTCTGTCTGAGTGTCTCCTTTACCTCTTTCTCTCTTTTCTACTTCCCCGTATGGCCCCTGTGTCTGTCCTCTGTTATGACACCTGGTCTGTACTTATGTCTCCTGTTTCCCTGTCTCTGTTGGTACAGACCTCACCGAGTCAGTCTCTCTCCATAAGAATCTCACGCTTATCTTCCTCATGACCACCTGGGGGTTCCAAGTCCTGGATCATTCACTCTGTGTCCCAATGACAATGAGAAGAATGTCTGGACACTCTCACCTGTGATCACGATGTCCAGGGGGTCACTGGGAGCTGACAACTGATAGGGGGAGTGAGGAACAGAACCATAACATCTGTAGGTTCCTGCAAGGACAGGCATCAAGGGACCGATGGAGAAGTTGGCCTTGGAGACCCCATCATGGATCTGTCCAACGAGGTGTGAGGGGTCCTCAGAGATCCCCTCTCTGTGCAGAAAGAAGTGCTCAAACATGACATCTGACCAACATTGCAGGATGACTGTCTCTCCTGATTTCAGCAGGGGCCCTGGGTGGGCCAGGAGGGAAGGTTTTCTGTGGTTTCCTAGAAAGAGAAGTTGTGAGTTTAGAAGGCATCTCTCTTTATCATCCCATCCATGGCACCTGGAATGAGTGAGGGTTCCCCTCCCAGAGGTCTGTCTCTCTCCTCCCTCTCTGTGTCTCCGTGTCTTTTCTGTGCCCATATCCCCTGGTGCAGGTCCCTCCATTTGTCTTCCTCCCTCTTCTCTGTCCCTCTGTCTCCAGTAGCCCCTGACTCCCTTCCCACTGTGAAGAGAGCCTCATCTCTTGGGCTGTTGTATCTCTTTCCCACTAGTCTCTTTCCTGCTGTCTATGTGGGGGTGGAAGAGGACAGGCTGCATGTCCAGGCTCTCAGCAGCCTGAATCAATCTCTTTTGAACAAATTGGAGTCTCTGGCAGAGGTATCAACTCATCAGTAAGGCAGACATCAGTGTCCACACACCCTGTTCCTGATGGGGATTGGGAGCCTCTCCTGCCATGTCTGTGCCTTCTCCATGGCCCCAGCTTCCATAGGGTGGTCCCTGGTGCTGGTTCCAGGAGCATCAACCCCTTCCTATGTGGATGGAGCCTGGTGGTGGCATCAGCATCCCACCCTTGCTGATCCCACGGTAGCCAACCTTCTCCTTGTTTGGTTTCTTTAATTAATTGATTAATTAATTTATTTTTGAGACAGTCACTTTTTCACCCAGGCTGGAGTGCAGTGGTGTTGTCTTGGCTCACTGCAACCTCTGCCTCCCCGGTTCAAGTGATTCTCTTGCCTCAGCCTCCCCAGTCGTTGGATTACTCGTGCCCACCACCACACCTGGCTATCCTTGTTTGGTTTCCTAGCTTGTCCTTGACCTGGGTTCCTGTGTCGGTTTCCTGTTGCTGCTGCAGAAAATTATCACAAACATGGCAGCAGGAGAGAACACACTGACCCCTTCCACTTCTGGGGACAGAAATTGGATCCAGTTCTCCCTGTGCTGAAATCAAGGCATCTGCAGGGCTGCGTTCCCTCTGGAGACTCAGCGAATCAGTTCTCTTGACTTCTCCAGCCCTTAGAGGCCACCTGCATTCTGTGACTAGTGGCCTTCCTCCACCTTCAAAGCCCACAGTGGCTGATAGCGTCTCCCTCCCACTACACTGCTCTAATCCCCACTCCCCTCTTCCTCCACCTCTCACGCGGACCCTTGTGATTACACTGAGCCCAGCAGGACAGTCCAGGCTGTCTCCCCATCTCAAGGTCAACTCATCAACAACCTGAGCTCCACCTTCCCCTTCAGTCCCCTGCCCTATAACATAAATAGTCACAGGCTCCAGGGTTTACAATGTAGCCATCATTGGCGACAGTGATTCTTCCCACCACAGCGCCCATTTCCCCTGTATTCAATCCCCCTTGACCCCAAATACAGTTGGGGCCTGGGTGATGGGACCCTGATGGACACCCCCACCAGAAGCTCTGGGATTCAGGAGGTGGGACAGTGAGAAGCCCAGACAGAAAGCCTCTGACCTGTGACCATGATCACCAGGGGGTTGCTGGGTGCCGACCACCCAGTGAGGGAGTGTGGGCGTGAACCCCGACATCTGTAGGTCCCTGCATGTGCTGGGGTCACAGGGCCCATGATGAAGCTCTCCTGGAATATTCTGCCGTGGAAGATGGGAACGTGGCTTCTGTCTTCTTTGTACAGCATGAAATTGTTAAACCCACGACGATAGTGACACTGAAGAGCCACGTGTCCTCCTCGAGGCACCACAGTGCTGGGCCGGGCAGACAGGAAGGGTTTGTCCTGACCACCTGGGGGAGAAGGAGGCACTGCCTTAGAGAGGAGGATGTGGAGCCACCCCTCCCTCCCTGTGCTCAGAAGATTCTCCCATTTCCGCTTTCTAAGGCTCCTACCACACCTGGGTGCCCAGGGCTACAGGAAGGACCCACCCCACATAGACATGGCGTCTCCCTACAACAAGTGTCAGCTGAGAACTTTGAGCAAGTGCTGAATAAGTGACTCTTACTAGATTTTAATACTGCAAAATTACTCACATAAAACAACACAAAGTAGACACGGCATGGAGGGCATGTCCTATGTGAATGGAATATCAGCCAATTCATGAACTGAGCCCCCTCAGAGGATTTGGAATGTCAGGGCCATGGCTGTGGTTTCCCCCCTCTTCTGGTAGAAAGACCGCAGCCACACTGCAGCCCCTACCGTCACGGAAACGCTGGAGGGTGTCAGTTATACCTTTGTCCTCAGAGGACCTGCTGTTCCTAGCACTGCTTCCCTCTCTTTCTCTGCTGCTGACACCACTTCCTCCCTGCACACCCCAGCTTGGAGCACCCCAGTCTCACCCCAGTCTTCACAGAGCTTGACTCAGGAAAGGGAAAGAAAGGCCGGGGAGGGCGAGGTCAGAAATGTGGGCCGAGTATCCAAGGGTCCCCTCTTCCTAGTTTATGAGAGACTCCCCGACAGGACTTCCCTCCTGTTTCAGAAAAATCCTCTTATGTGGGGAGATGACACCCTAAGGTTTGGGGAAGGACTCACCCATGAGTGGCCAGGCCCCCTGCAGCAAGAAGAACCCTGGAAAGAAAGATCATGATAGACGATCCAACTGCAGGCAAACCAGGGCACCCTGCTGCCCCCACTGCACTGTGTGTCTTGGCAGCCAGGCCCTTGCTGGGCTGAAGGTAAACTTAGCCTCCCTGCTACCTGCTGCCAAGAACAGGGCTCTCAGCTGTGGAGAGACCCAGGCTCCAGGCCCAGATCAACACTTCCTGGCCCAGATCTCCACTCCAGGCCCATATCTCCACTCCAGGCCCCTATCTCCACTCCAGGCCCCTATCTCCACTCCAGGCCCATATCTCCACATCAGACCCATATCTCCACTCCAGGCCCAGATCTCCCCTCTAGGCCCATATCTCCACTCCAGGCCCATATCTCCACTCCAGGCCCATATCTCCACATCAGACCCATATCTCCACTCCAGGCCCATATCTCCACTCCAGGCCCAGATCTCCACCTGCAGGCCCATATCTCCACTCCAGGCCCATATCTCCACTCCAGGCCCGTATCTCCACTCCAGGCCCATATCTCCACACCCAGGCCCATATCTCCCCTCCAGGCCCATATCTGCACTCCAGGCCCATATTTACACCTCCAGGCCCATATCTCCACACCCAGGCCCATATCTCCACTCCAGGCCCATATCTCCACTCCAGGCCCATATCTTTACCTCTAGGCCGAGATCTCCATCCCCACTCTCCCTCCCTCTATTCCCTTCCAGGACTCACCAACGCACGCCATGCTGACGACAGTGAGCGACATGGTGCTGCCGGTGCAGACAGGAGGCCGCGCCCCAGCTCAGCTCAGCAGCGCACAGGATGTTATTTGGCGCCCTGCCCATGCAGTTTACATGTTGACCACATCATGGGAGGGTGACGTACGCAGGCTCTTTCTACCTTGCATGAGGCCCAGTGGGTGCTCGCTCAAGAGCGGAACATGGCTTCCTGGAAATTGTTGTGACTACAATTGCCACCTTGCATCCTTCACTATGACCAGACTCAAAAGACGTCTCAGATCCAACCTCTCACACATGAGGTGATTGAATTCTGTGCTTACATTAAAGACTTTTGATGTATTTTTGTTTTTATCTGAGATTCAAACTTTTCTTCATGTGTAATGTGCAAAATATCTAAGAGGTATTATTAACATTATCAGAGTAATTGTGACAAAAAGCCATTCTAATTTTCCTGATGAGTTTCTAGTACTAAACCTGAGGCACGAGAATTGCTTGAACCTGGGAGGCGGAGGCTGCAGTGAGCTGAGCTCAAGCCACTGAACTCCAGCTTGGGTGACAGAGGAAGAGTCTGTCTCAAGAAAGAAAAAAAAAAGCAAACTAAATAACCTATAATAACAAATCAGAGAACTCAGGTTACCAAATTTTAAGGGGTTCTATAAGTTTATATGAAATGCAGCATCCTCATGAGAGGGGATACAGAGAACCACTGGGCAGAAAACTGTGTCTAAAATACATCTGTGGATACACAGTCCCTTTATAGTTGACAAAGGCTGCCATGTAGTTTAAGGTGGAATAGAATATTTTCTCAATAAATAACACAGGACCATAGGGTTACACGTAGGAAAAAATAAATCTAAACTTATCCTCACACTATAAAAACACTTCTTATTTTTTATCTTGTTGTTGTAAACTTTTTATGCTTTATTTTTAAGATTGACAAATAAAAATTATATACTGTGGTCCTTCACTATTCCTGGGTGATTGGTTCCAGGATCCCCATTCAGATACCAAAATCTGCAGATGCTCAAGCCCCTTGCATGAAATGGCATAGCGAAGCTGGGCACCGTGGCTCACGCCTGTAATCCCAGCACTTTGGGAGGCTGAGTTGGGTAGATCACGAGGTCAGGAGTTCAAGACCAGCTGGTCCAACATTCTGAAACCCCGTCTCTACTAAAAATACACACACAAAAAAATTTATCTGTGCATGGTGGCACGTGCCTGTAATCCTAGGGGAGGCTACTGGGGAGGCTGAGGGAAGACAATCGCTTGAACCTGGGAGGCAGAGGTTGCAGTGAGCTGAGATCATGCCACTGCACTCCAGCCTGGGTGAGAGAGTGAGACTGTCTCAAAAAAAAAAAAAAATAGCATAGCAATTGCATAGAACCCATGCACATCCTCCTGTATACATGAAATCATCTCTTGATTACTTATAATTCCTGACACAGCCTACACGCCACTCAATTTGTGTCGATTCAACATAGTTTTTTGCTTCTTGAAACTTCGGGGATTTTTTTCTGAAAATATTTTTGATTTATTGTTTGTTCAATAAACACCTGTAAACCCCACAGATATGGAGGACCGACTGTATATTTATATTATGAAAGATGATATGTTGATATGTGTCCCCGTGGAGATGAGACTAACAAGGCCTATGTCTCTACAAATGTTTCATCGTGGAATGACTCTGCCAGCTTTCCAGGTCTGCAGAGAGTAAGAATATCACTTGTTCATGTGATTCACGATCCTTGGAGCCTCCTATGTGCTGTATCTTTGGATGGAAATTGGAGTCTCAGAGACAAATCAGGCTACATTCTGCTTCCAGAAGCTCAGAGTCCAGGGCTGAGAACCCAATGGAGAACAGATGGGGTTATGTGGACATGGTAATGATAACACCGGAAGCCTTAGGCAAGAAAAGAGTCTCGTTACCGAAACCATGAGGGCAGACATGTTTATTTGAAGGCGGGAAAACTACATTGAAATTATTTAAAAAATTTATAAGTTTTACTGCTGGCAGAAGGCTGAAAGATAGTCTGAAGGGAGGTGGAACAGCACGTGTCTAAGTGCTGTGTTAAGAGGCAGCCTCTTGTATGTTTGGAATTGTGAGTTCCTCAGTGTGATTGCAGCCTCAGGTAGACTAGGAAGTAAGCCAGTTAGGTTGGAGAGGTGGGCAGGGGTCAAGTGAAATGGAGAATTGTGGGCTAAGCAAAGGAGTGTGTTTTCTCTCCAGCAGGCAGTGGGGACCTTAGACATTTGTAAGCAAGAGAGAGGCATGTTCAGATTCGTGGTGTGAGGAAGAGCGATGCCCTAAGATGAAGACTGATGCCTTCAGATTCCAGCTGCTGGTACATGGGAGCTGGCAACCCGGTTTTGAGACAGGGCTGTTGTCTCCCTAGAAGATCCCCTCAAGGCCTGACTGTGGTGCTCGTGGACAGAAGACAACTTTGGATCTGGGCTCAGCATTTGGAAGTTCTATGTACATGCTGGTATCTGTTGGGGGTGTCTTGGGCCTCTCAGAAGGGCGAGTGATTTTTCTCTGTGTGAAAACACAGTGATCCAATTATGCGTATGACACCTCCTGATGGTCTTGTTCATCAGAATCCTGGAGAGAGGGAAATGCTGAGTGAGGGAGGGTGCTCACATTTTTCAGGACTCTTTGGGAATAAGACTAGCCACGAGGCTGGGCCGAGGAGCACCTACCTCGCTGTTCACTGTTCTGTTCCCTGCAGGCTCTTGGTCCATTACAGCAGCATCTGTAGAAGACGGAAGTCAACAAAAGAGCTCGGAGGGCACTTCTGGGTCCTCATTTCATAAGCAGATACCAACAAACAGGGGGAGGCCATAGGTGCCTGAGGTCCCTCAGTTGCCAACAGCAGACTCAGACATTCTATCTCTCTGAGTTCAAGGACCCATCCCATGAATAGCTCTGAGGTCCCATCCCATTGATTCTATCTCCCACTTTCTGCCTGTCATGGAACCTTCTCCTGGATGTGAGTGGCTGTAGGGGACGTGAGGATACAGTTCAGAATCAGGCAATGGTCTGTGAGCTGAAGGCAGGGGAAGGGAATCTGGTGCTCTCTCTAGAAAGTCCTGCCTCTGTGGCTCCTGTCTTGGGCCAGGGACCATCCTGCTGGTGAGGAACACACATCCGCGTGCTCCCATCCTGCTTCCCCACATGGCCCTGAGCTCTCTGGCCTCTGCTTCGTGAGACTTACTTTTTTTGTCGGAGCACCAGCGATGAAGGAGAAAGAAGAGGAGGATGGTGAAAGGGATTTTGACCACTGAGGTCCCAATCAGAACATGTAGGTGTCTGGGGTTACCTGGAAGAAGAGGAGACACCAATAAGAAGCTAATCATAGCAGTTCCTCTTTATGAATTGTCTCGCATTTCTTGATTGGCAGGTAACCACATACAACGTCTCTTTAGGACAAGCACCCAAATGGCGGGAGACCTAGCTTTCCCCTGCTTTCTCAATTATAGCTCTCATAGTAACCATAGAACGTGCTGAGGATACAACTACTTTAGTTGAGATGTTTGACCCTTTCAAACCTCACATTGAAATTTCACCCCCATTGTGGGAGGTTGGGCCTCTTCAGAGGTGTTTGGGTCATGGAGGTGGATCCATCATGAACAGATCAATGCTGTCCCAAGGAGACGGGGTTAGCAAGTTCCCCCTCTGTTAGTTCCTGGAGAGCTGGTTGTTAAAAAGAGCTTGGAAGCTCCATCGCTCCCTCTCCCCCTTACTCTCTCTCTTGCCGTGTGATCTCTGCGGTCTCTGCACAGACAGACCCTCCTTCCCTTCTGCCAGAGTGGGAGCAGCCTGAGGCCGTCAAGAGAAATAGATTCTGGTGCCATGCTTCCAGTACAGCCTGCAGAACTGTGAGGCAAACCAATCTCTTTTCTTTAGAAGTTACCCAGGCTCAAGTGTTCCTTTAGAGCAACAAAAATGGACTAAGATAGCAACATCCTGAGATCAGGAGGAATGTCTCAGAACAGCCTGGGCTGTCTTCCTGTTCTTCCTGGAGGAGGACGTCATGCAGTGCTTTAGCTGAGTGCTTCCTGTGGCTCCAGGGTACAAAACCCAGGCTGGGCTGCTTTCTGGCTTCCCCCAGTTACACTGCAAATGGGGTGACTCCATATGTCCCGAGCAGCTTTTCTGAGCCTTGAGGGACTGGCTCACATTGAAATGCAGGCTTCTGTTGTCACTCGCTGCTTATCTGTTAGTAATGAACCTGCCTATGTAACGTATCCTCTGTGTGTTCTGTCTCCCTGGAGTGACGGTGAGTGATAGGAATTGGCATAGGCCCAGGTGCAGTCCAGGATTTGTTTAGAGTCTTCTCTGGGAAGACTGCACTGGGATTGATACACAGCGAATGTGCTTTAGGATTTCTACATCCACAGCATTCTTGAGTCAAACAAATTGCATTCACCAAGGAAAGGAAACAAAGGTGAAATCACGATTAAAAATAGCGAAGCAAGATTCTCTTATGTCAAACAGCCAGAAAATAGTGTTGAAGCCCGTGTGAAATGTGCTGCTCTTTGTGATCTCGGGAGACACATGTTAGGCTGCTGTTCTACCCGAGAGGCTGGGGGAAGGACCACCCCCTCCACCATCTATTGCTTCAATACCACCTGTCCTCCTGTGAATTAGTAGGAAAGGGGAACAGGAGCTAGTGCTGTCGCTGATCTCTGATTCCAAGATCTGGACTCACTCCAAGGAATATTAATGTTTCCTCCCCATGGTCTATCTGAATCTCCACAGGTGATTGGAAGTAGGGGTGAGATGGGGGATTTGGGTGAGGGGGCAAGTTTTTTTTTGCGATGACCAGAGCACTTTCTCTATTCCAGGATCCGTGCTGGAGGATTCAGCGGGCTTTCACATTTTCTATGTGATCTCATGCTCACAGAAAGCCAAATAGGGAAGAGGTTTTAGGCTCATTGCCTAATGGATAAGATAAAGGATCAAAGAAGTAATTATAGAGAAATAGAAAAATGATGATTGGAATTCAGGTGCCTTTGTCATTCGTGTGTGTTTTATTATATTTATGCATTTCTTATTTTTATTTTTTGAGACGGAGTCTCCTTGTGTCACCCAGGCTGGAGTGCAGTGATGCAATCTCCACTCACTGCAACCTCCACCTCCTGGGTTGAAGTCATTCTCCTGCTTCATCCTCCAGAGTAGGAGCTGGGATTACAGGGATGCACCACCATGCTCGGCTAATTTTTGTATTTTTAGTACAGATAGGGTTTCACCATGTTGGCCAGGCTGGTCTGGAACTCCTGACTTCATGGAATCCACCCGCCTTGGCCTCCTGCAGGGCTGGGTTACAAGCATGAGCCACCGTTCACAGACTTGTATATTATGCTATAATAGGTCCCTTCATTTCCACCACCCCTCATATATCTGTCACTCCTTTGCCAGGTATTGATTTATGTGTAGGATGAATAAATCTCAGAAAGAAATTAATTAAGCGAGGATTAAACAAGTAGGAAAATCAAACCCAGCAAGCCTTTCCAGCCAATGATTCTACCTCACAAGCATATCTTATATCCATCTACTTCATTCATTTAGTGTCTAAATCAGCACCACATTTCACCAGTGGGGCGGCAATTGCCTTTTCCACAGTCTCCTAGATTCCAGTTACGCACCTGGGCCTCCCTTATTTTCTTGTCAGTCACTATTAATCATGTAGGGATTCCTGGTTACCCCGAGGTGAATCCAATGGCTGTGAGTGTCAAACACACACTCCTTGTTCCTCCTTAGTTTCCTGTGTACCCAGAGTGCTCTCCATCTCTCTACAGTCATCTTGTCATTCTCCCCACCTCATTCCCAGCATTTCAGGCAGAGCCTCTTCCTTCAACATCAGATTGTTTTCACCTTTGTGCCTTCACAGCTGACAGCTGTGTGTGGAAAATCCTTCCGCCAATCTTTCAGGGGTTCAATCCGTGTTTTTCATTAATGTCACAAATATCTGATTAGTGAGACCTTCTCTGTCACCCAAAATTATACACTCAGCATTATCTATTATTTATTTTGAATTCTGGCTGGGCAAAGTGGCTCACGCCTGTAATCCCAGTACTTTGGGTTGCTGAGATGGTCGGATCACTTGAGGTTGGGAGTTTCAGACAAGCTTGGCCAACATGGTGAAACATCCTCTCTACAAAAAATATACAAAAAGAATTAGCCGGGCATGGTGGCAGTTGCCTGTAATCCCAGCTACTCGAGAGGGTGAGGCAGGAGAATCACTTGGATCCAGGAGACGCAGGTTGCAGTGAGCCAAGATCGTGACACTGCACTGTAGCCTGGAAGACAGAGGGAGACTCTGTCTCAATAAACAAACGAACAAACAAACAAATAGATTTCATGCACAGATGCTTCCCAATGGATCATTCATTTATTGGTCCACTTGTGCATTCATTTTCTGTCCTCCCATTTAACCATCTGCAATATCAGTGTCCCAAGAGCAGAGGCCAAATGCATCTTGTTCACCATTTGTGGAAGGCAGGAGAATGCTGTCCCACCCCAAAATGTCCCTGTCCTAGCCTCCATAGCTTGTGAATATGTTATTTTACATGGAAAGGAGGAATGAAGATTGCAGATGGAATTATGGTTGCTAATCAGCTGAACTTAAAACAAGGGTATCCTGAATGATTTCCGGGAGATTATGAGGGATTTTCATCTTGGTGAACCCAATAGAATCCCCAAGTTTTCAAAAGATGAGGAAGAAGGGAGAGCAGCATTCAGAGAAAGAGGTGTGGTAAGGAAGAAGGGTCTGAGTGATGCCATGTGAGATGTGACCAGTCTTTGTGGGTTTTGAGGAAGGAGGAAAGGGACCAGCAGCCAAGGAACTGGGAGCCTTTATAAGATGGGACAAGTGAGAAGCAGATTCTTGCCTGGAATCCTCAGAGGGAAGGCAGGCTTGCTGTCATCTTGATTTTAGCCCAGTGAGATGCACTTCATGCTTTGAGCTAGAGCACTGTAAGATAATTAAATAACCGTTTTGTTTTCACCCACGAATCTTGTGGAAATTTGTTATGGCAACAATAGGAAAAGCTTCCACACTGCACAACCTGAGCATGGGGCCGTGGCTGAATAAGTCAGTGAGTCAAAGTGTGCGTGCATGAGCTCTGTTCTCTGTTACGGCAAGGCTCTTGCTCTGCTGAGTCAGCCAGGGTTGTTTCATGACCAACAGGAGCTCATTCCTTGGCAAGTGGAACTTCTCTAAAACACCTCGCCCTCATCAGATGTTCGCTTCCCTTCCCTCTCTCAAGCCCCCAGGAATTTATCCTCCAGTTAGGAATGCAAGCAGAACAAACATTGCGTTTTTCCTGAGAAGGATGTCAGATTGGCAATCATTCTTCTAGCTTGTAGGAGGTCTCAGCTCCATAAAATGAGAGATGAAGAGATTTCACTGAGCCCTGTGTTGGGCCCAGATCCCTTTCGCTGTTGGAGTATCTGGAGTTCGGAGATGGTAGAAGACAGGCGTACAATGTCAGAGCTGTGAGATGCTGAGTCAACGCCTGAATCCAAGGTTTCCACCTCCCCAGGGTTCCAAAAGCGGATATAAGAGGGTCCTGTACTCACCGGTTTTGGAGCTTGGTTCAGTGGGTGAAGGCCAACTATTTGAAGGGTTTCCTAGAACATGAGACAGGAGAGAGGTGAGGAAATGAGGGTGTCTGTCCTCTACTCAGTGGAAATCTTTGAGTTTGGTTCATGGCCAACACTCTGTTATCTAACATTGGGCCCTGGGAGTCCAGGGATCCTTTCTTCCATAATTTTTGTATGTGACGCCCACTGTCTTGAGACTTCAAGGTATAAAGAGAAAACAGGAGCATCACACTACCTGATCTCAAAATATGTTACAGAGCTGTAGTAAGCAAAACAGCATGATGTTGGCATGAAGAAAGGCACATAGAACAACGGAGCAGAATGAAGAACACAGATATAATCCATGCATTTACATCCAATTTTTTTTATTTTTTCTTTTGAGATGGAGTCTCGCTCTGTCACCCAGGCTGGAGTGCAGAGGTGCAATCTCGGTTCACTGCAACCTCAGCCTCCTGGGTTCAATCAATTCTCTTGCCTCAAACTCCTGAGTAGTAGTATTACAGGTGCTGACCACCATGCTCAGCTAATTTTTATATTTTTAGTGGAGACGATGTTTCATCACGTCGGCCAGAGTAATCTTGTACTCCTGTCCTCAGGTGATCCACCAGCCTTGGCCTCCCAAAGTGCTGAAGTTGCTGGTGTTAGCCACCATGCCCAGCCCATCCAATGGACTTTGACAAAGGTGCCAAGAACTCACAATCAGGAAAGGACAGTTTTTTCAATAAACAGTGCAGGGAAACCTGGACATCTACATGCAGAGGAATGAAACTGCACCTCTACCTGTCACCATACACAAAAATCAAATGAAAGTGGATTAAAGATGTGAGTCTAAGGCCTGAACCTGTGAAACACGTAGAAGAAAATATTGGGGAAATGCTCCAGTACATTTGTCTGAAGGAAGACATTTTGTTTTAAACCTTCAAAACACAAGTAATCGAAGCAAAAATAGACCATTGGGATTACCTCAAACTAAGCAACTTCTGCACCGCTAAAAATAAACCAACAAAGTGAAGAGACAACCCACAGATTGGGAGCAAATATGTGCAAACTATGCATCTGAGACGGGATTAATAACTAGAAGTATAAGAAGCTCAAACAACTCAATAAAACAAATGATTTAATTGAAAAAGGAGCAAAAGACATGAAATTTCCCCACATACGAAAAAGTGCTCAGTATCACTCATCATCAGAGAAACGCGAATTAAAATCAAAGTGAGTTTTCATCTCACCCCATTAAAATGGCTTTTAGGCCGGGCGAGGTGGCTCACGTCTGTCATCCTAGAACTCTGAGAGCCCGAGGTGGGCGAATCTCATAAGGTCGGGAGTTTGAGACCAGTCTGACCCACATGGAGAAACGCTGTCTCTACTAAAAATACAAAAATTAGTCGGGCGTGGTGGCGTGTGCCTGTAATTCCAGCTACTCGGGAGGCTGAGGCAGGAGAATCGCTTGAACCTGGGAGGTGGAGGTTGCGGTGAGCCGAGATCGCACCACTGCACTCCAGCCTGGGTGACAAGAGCGAAACTCCATCTCAAAATAAAATGAAATAAAATAAAATGGCTTTTAGCTGCAAGACAGGCAAAACAAATGCTGGCAAGGTGGTAGAGAAAGGAGAACCCTGGTACCCTGTTGGTAGGAGTGTAAATTAGTACAGCCATTACGGAGAAAAGTATGGAAGTCCTTTAAAGAACTAAAAAGAGGTTGGATGAAGTGGATCATGCCTGTAATCCCGGCACTTTGGGAGACCGAGGCGGGCACCTCAGTTGAGGTCATGAGTTTGAGAGCAGCCTAGCCAACCTGGGGAAACCCCATGTACACTTAAAAAAAACCAAAAAGTATCCCGGCATGGTGGCGTGCACCTGTAATCCCAGCTACTAGGGAGGCTGAGGCAGGAAAATCATTTGAACCCAGGAGGCGGAGGTTGCAATGAGCCAAGATCACATCACTTGTACTCCAGCCTGGGCACAGAGGGAAACTGTCTCAAAAACAAAAACAAAACAACAAACGAAAAACTAAAAAGAGAACTTTCATAGTATCCAGCAATTTCACTACTGGGTTTATATCCAAAGGAAAGTAAATCAATGTATCGAAGTGATATCTGCACTCGTATGATTGGTGCAGCACTCTTCACAGTAGCCAAGATGTGGAGTCAACCTACCTGCCCATCAGTGGATGAATGGATAGAGAGAATGTAGTACATACGCACAGCGGAGACTACTCATCCATAGAAAGAATAACATCCTGATATTTGCAGCCACATGGATGGAACTGGAAGTCATTACAAATATTCTCATTTCTCACCCATATACAGGAGCTAAAAGGTGGATCTCATGAAGATAGAGAGTAGAATGGTGGCTACCAGAGGCCAGGAAGAAAAGGGTGGAGGATAAAACAAACAAACAAAAAATTTATATGTATGTATTTATGACCACTAGACCTTACACTTAAAATTGGTAAACGTGGCCGGGCGCGGTGGCTCATGCCTGTAATCCCAGCACTTTGGGAGCCTGAGGCGGGTGGATCACGTGGTCAGGAGTTCCAGAGCAGCTCGACCAACATGGTGAAACCCCCTCTCTACTAAATATACAAAAAGTAGCCCGGCGTGGTGATGGGCGCCTGTAGTACCAGCTACTCAGGTGGCTGAGGCAGGAGAATCGCTTGAACCCAGGAGGCGGAGGTTACAGTGAGCTGAGATTGTGCCACTGCATTCCAGCATAGGAGACAGAGCTAGACTCCACCTCAAAAAAAAAAAAATGTTAAAAGTGGTAAGCTATATAGGTATATTTAACCTCAATGAATATTTTTTCAAACAAAAAGAAAAGGATGTAGGGGTTGCTGGTGATGACATCTCTGTGTGGGTGAGAGGCCAGGAAGGGCTTCTGGGAAATGGGTAAGGTTGAGGGGCTGAGGGAACCTCTGATCTCCCCAAACTGAGCCCAGTCTCCCCTTCTCTGGGTCTCTCCTGACCGCTTTCTACATCTGCCTGGGTTTCTGGAGCCCTAATCGGAGGCCTCCATGCAGGCCATGCAGGAGGGTTTGGAGGTGCTGTGTGTGCCATCCTGCGCCCTGATCCCTCCCTCACAGGCATGCTGCGTCTTCTCTCTGCATCTGTCCATGCTTCTCTCCATCATCAGCAGGAAGCTCCTCAGCTAAGGCTCTAGGATCATAGGACATGGGACAGATATGGGGTTTCCTCACCTGTGACGGAAACAAGCAGTGGATCACTCGAGTTTGACCACTCGTAGGGAGCGTCACGGAAAGAGCCGAAGCATCTGTAGGTCCCTCCGTGGGTGGCAGGGCCCAGAGGAAAGTCGGCCTGGAATGTTCCGTTGATGCTGCGCACTGCAGGGAGCCTACGTTCATGGGCCTCCCCTTCCCTGGATAGATGGTACATGTCATAGGAGCTCCGGGAGCTGCAGGACAAGGTCACATTCTCTCCTGCCTGAACCGTGGGGCCCGGCTGGGCTGAGAGAGAAGGTTTCTCATATAGACCTGGAAGGAGAAGGGGCAGTTTCCTCAGGGGGGATCTTCCTTGTCACAGCTCCCCTCACACCTGACCTGAGAACTCACTCCCCTGCTCTATGGCCTAATGCTCTCTTTCTCTGTCTCACCCTCCACCCTATCTCTCTTCATGTCTATTTCCTCCTTCCACCTTCTCTGTCTCTGTAGGTCTCTGACCTCACTTCCCTACCTCTAGTTATGTTTTCCTTTTTTGGATTGTTTTATTCTCTCTGGCTCTCCTTGGATTGGTTGACTTGATGTTACTTTTTTTAACTCTGAGTTTCTCAGTTTGTGTCCCGTTCATAACTTTCTGCATATTTCTATCTATTATCTATCAATCCATCTATTTATCTATTCGGTGCCTATCTACAAATTCTCTACCTGTCATCTATATCTATATATCATCTATTTATCTATCAATTGTCTATCCGTCAATCATCTATTATCTATATATATGTATCATCTCTCTCTCTCTATTATTTCTCTCTTTGTCTTCCTCTCTATCTCTATGTATTATCTATCCATCTATCTTCATCATCATCATCTCTATGTATCATCTATTAATGAATCAATCAATCATCATCTATGTATCTATAACCTATTATCTATCATCTACCTATATATCATCTATCTATATCTATCCATCATCTATCTGTATCTATCCATCTATCATCTGTCTTGCTCTGCCTCTCGGTCTCTCTAGTTCTCTTTGGAATCTCTGCAATTCATCCCCACATCTCCATCTTTCTATGCCCTTGTGCCTCGCCCTCAGGACTCTAATTTTAGTGGTTTTCTCTGCTCTCTTCCATCATTCTCTCCACTTCTCTGCCCTCTTCTCTCTCTTTATGTGTCTGTGAGTCTCTCAATCTCCTTCCTCTGGCTCTTTCTCTGTGTGTTTATGTCTTTGCTTTTTGGTGTCCCTGATTTCTCTCTGTGCTTCTCAGTGATCCTCTCATATGTGATATGTGGGGTTATTTGGAATGTGAGCCTCAGAATCCAGTCTGGAGACCACAAGTTCACACAGCATACAGGGGTTGGTGTTCTGGGGCCATGATATTTTGGGACGATTATTCTCCATTGCATGGAAGTCAGAGGTGTCAGAATAAGCATGGCATCTGTAGGTGCCACAAGGCCTGAGGCCACAGGGCCCAACTCAGGTCAGAAATATGGGTGTCCTTGGGTTCTCCTGGTAGAGAACACTTTGTGGAGGTAAAACAGAAATGAAACTTCTAACCTGTGCCAGGTCTCTGAGCAAAGTCAGCATGGAAGGACACCTCTGTCTGGGACATGTCTGTCTGTCTCCTTTAACTCTTTCTGTCTTTTCTAACTCCCTGTATGGCCCCTGTGTTTGTCCTCTGTTATGACACCTGGTCTGTACTTGTGTCTCTTGTTTCTCTGTCTCTGTTGGCACAGACCTCACCAAGTCAGTCTCTCTCCATAAGAATACCAAGCTCATCTTCCTTACAACCACCTGGGTCTCCAAGTCCTGGATCATTCACTCTGCATCCCAATGACAATGAGAAGAATGTCTGGACACTCTCACCTATGATCACCATGTCCAGAGGGTCACTGGGAGCTGACAACTGATAGGGGGAGTGAGGAACAGAACCGTAGCATCTGTAGGTTCCTGCAAGGACAGGCATCATGGGACCAATGGAGAAGTTGGCCTTGGAAACCCCATCATGGTGCTCTCCAATGAGGTGCAAAGTGTTGTTAAACTTCCCCTCTCTGTGCAGAAGGAAGTGCTCAAACATGACATCCGACCAACATTGCAGGATGACTGTCTCTTCTGATTTCACCAGGTGACCTGGGAGGGCCAGGAAGGAAGGTTTTCTGTGGACTCCTAGGAAGAGAGGTTGTGAGTTTAGAAGGTGTCTCTCTTTATCATCCCATCCATGGCACCTGGAATGAGTGAGCCTTCCCTTCGCTGGTGTCTGTCTCTCTGCTTCCTCTCTGTGTCTTCATGTTCTTTTCTGTGCCCATAACTCCTGGTGCAGGTCCTTCCATCTGTCTCCCTCCCTCTTCTCTGTCCCTCTGTCTCTAGTAGCTGTGATTCCCTTCCCACTGGGCTCAGCCTCATCTCTTGGGCTGTTGTATCTATTTCACACTAATGTCTTTCTTACTGTCTATGTGGGAGTGGAAGAGGAAGCAGGATAGGCTGCACGTCCCGGCTCTTAGCAGCCTGGTTCAATCTCTTTTGGACGAATTGGAATCCTTGGCAGGAGGTATGAACTGATCAGTAAGGCAGGCACCAGTGTCCACACACCCTGTTCCTGGTGGGGACTGGGAGCCACTCTTGCCATGTCTGTGCCTTCTCCATGGTGCCAGTTTCCATAGGCTGGCTCCTCGTGCTGATTTGAGGAGTATCAACCCCTCCCTATGTGGATGGAGCCTGGTGGTGGCATCATCATCCCACCCTTGCTGATCTCGGTGTAGCCAACCTTCTCTTTGTTTGGTTTCTTTAATTAATTAATTAATTTTGGAGACAGAGTCTCACTCCTTCACCCAGGCTGGAGTGAAGTGGTGTGGTCTACGCTCACTGCAACCTCTGTCTCCTGGGTTCAAGCGATTCTCCTGCTCTCAGCCTCCCGAGTCGCTAGGATTACATGCACCTGCCACCATGCCTGGCTATCCTTGTGTCTTTTCTTAACTTGTCCTTGACCTGGGTTCCAGTGTTGGTTTCCTGTTGCTGCTTTAGAAAATTATCAGAAGCATGGCAGCAGGAGAGAGCACACTGACCCCCTCCGATTCTGGAGACAGAAAGCGGACCCTGTTTTTCGAGGGCTAAAATCAAGGCATCTGCAGGGCTGTGTTCCCTCTGGAGACTCAGGAGAATCAGTTACTTGACTTTCCCAGCCTCTATAGGCCACCTGCATTCATGGCTTATGGCCTTCATCCACCTTCAAAGCTGATGGAGTCTCCCACTACGCTGCTCTAATCCCCACTCTCCTCTTCCTCCTCCTTTCATGTGGACACTTGTGATTATACTGAGCCCACCGGGACAGTCCAGGCTGTCTCCCCATCTCAAGGTCAACTCATCAACAACCTGAGCTCCATCTTCCCCTTCAGTCCCTTCCCCTATAACATAAATAGTCACAGACTCCAGGGATTAGAATGCAGTCATCACTGGGGACACTTATTCTTCCCACCACAGCACCCATTTCCCTGTATTCAATCCCCCTTTACCCCAAATACAGTTAGGGCCTGCGTGATGGGACCCTCAAGGACATGCCTACCAGAAGCTCTGGGATTCAGGAGGTGGGACAAGGAGAATCCCAGACAGGAGCCCTCTGACCTGTGACCATGATCACCAGGGGGTTGCTGGGTGCCGACCACCCACTGGGGGAGTGTGTGTGTGAACCCCGGCATCTATAGGTCCCTGCATGTGACGGGGTCACAGGGCCCATGAAAAGGCTTTTCCAGAATATTCTGTTGTACAGCTCAGGGACAGGCACCCCATCATCCTTGTACAGACTGAAGTTGTTAAACCCAAGATTAGAGTGACACTGAAGAGTCACATGTTCTGGAGGCACCACAAGGCTGGGCCAGGTAGAAAGCAAGGGCTTGTCCTGACCACCTTGGGGTGAAGGAGGCGCCGCCTTAGAGAGGAGGATGTGGAGCTGTGCCTCCCTCCCTGTGCTCAGAAGATTCTCCCCACTTTCCACATTTCTATGGCTGCTATCACACCTTGGTGCCTAGGGCTAAAGGAAGGACCCATCCCACAAAGACAAGGTGTCTCCGTACAACAAAAGTGTCAGCTGAGAACTTTGAGCAAGTGCTGAGTAAGAGACTCCTACTAGATTTTAATACTGTAAGATTACTGACATAAAACAACACAGGGTAGACATGAAGTGGAGGGCATGTCCTTTGAGAATGGAATATCAGCAGTTGCCTGAATGAAAATAAAAAACTTAGCCCCCATCAGAGGATTTGGAATGTCAGGGCCATGGCTGTGGTTTCCCACCTCTTCTGGTAGAATGACAGCAGCCACACTGCAGCCCCTACCGTCATGGAAACGCTGAAGTGTGTGAGTAACACCTTTGTCCTCAGAGGATCTGCTGTTCCTACCACTTCCCCACCACACAACCCAGCTTTGAACACCCTAGTCCAACCCTGGTCCCCACACAACTTGACTCTGCCAAGGGGTTGAGAGGCCAGGGAGGCAAGGTCGGAACTGTGGGCCGAGCACCCCAGGGTCCCCTCTTCCTAGTTTATGAGAGACTCCCTGACAGGACTTCCCTCCCGTTTCAGGAAAATCCTCTTATGTGGGGAGATGACACCCTAAGGTTTGGAGAAGGACTTACCCTCCTGTGGCCAGGCCCCCTGCAGCAAGAAGAACCCTGGAAAGAAAGATCATGATGGAAGATCCATTTGCAGGCAAACAAGGCCTTCCTTGCTGCCCCCACTGGGCTGTGAGTCTTGATAGCCAGCCCCTTCCTGGGCCGAAGGGAAACTCACCATCAGTGCCTACCTGCACCCAAGAACAGTGCTCTCGGCTGTGCAGAGACCCAGCCTCCAGGCCCATATCCCCACCCCAAGCCCATATCTCCACTCCAGGCCCATATCTCCACTCCAGGCCGATATTTCCACCCTAGACCCATATAGCCAATCCGGGCCCACATCTCCAATCCAGGCTCAGATCTCCACCCTCGGCCCATATCTCCAATCCAGGCCCATATCTCCACTCCAGGCCCATATCTCCACTCCAGTCCCATATCTCCTCTCCAGTCCCATATCTCCACTCCAGGCCCATATCTCCACCCCAGGCCCAGATCTCCACCTCCAGGCCCATAACTACACTCCAGGATCATATCTCCACTCCAAGCCCATATCTCCACATCAGGCCCATATCTCCACTCCAGTCCCATATCTCCACACCCAGGCCCATATCTCCATTCCAGGCCCATATCCCCATCCTAGGCCCATATCTCCACCGTAGGCCCAGATCTCCACTCCAGGCCCATATCTCCACTCCAGGGCCATATCTCCACTCCAGGCCCATATCTACACACCAGGCCCATATCTCCACCCCATGCCCATGTCTCCACTCCAGACCCATATCTCCACCCCACGCCCATATCTCCACTCCAGGCCCATATCTCCAACCCACGCCCATATCTCCACCTCCAGGCACATATCTCCACCCCACGCCCGTATCTCCACTCCAGTCCCATATCTCCACTCCCGGCCCATGTCTCCACCCCATGCCTATATCTCCACTCCAGTCCCATATCTCCACTCCAGGCCCATATCTCCACTCCAGACCCATATCTCCACTCGGCCCATGTCTACACTCCAGGCCCATATCACCACCTCCAGGCCCATATCTCCACTCCAGGCCCATATCTCCACCTCCAGGCCCGTATCTCCACTCCAGACCCATATGTCCACTCCAGGCCCATATCTCCACTCCAGGCCCATATCTCCACTCCAGGGCCATATCTCCACTCCAGGCTCATATCTCCACTCCAGGCCCATATCTCCACTCCAGGGCCATATCTCCACTCCAGGCTCATATCTCCACTCCAGGCCCATATCTCCACTCCAGGGCCATATCTCCACTCCAGGCCCAGATCTCCACCTCCAGGCCCGTATCTCCACTCTAGTCCCATATCTCCACTCCAGGCCCATATCTCCACCTCCAGGCCCATAACTTCACTCCAGGCCCATAACTCCACTCCAGGCCCATATCTCCACCTCCAGGCCCATATCTCCACTCCAGGGCCATATCTCCACTCCAGGCTCATATCTCCACTCCAGGCCCATATCTCCACTCCAGGGCCATATCTCCACTCCAGGCCCAGATCTCCACCTCCAGGCCCCTATCTCCACTCTAGTCCCATATCTCCACTCCAGGCCCATATCTCCACCTCCAGGCCCATAACTTCACTCCAGGCCCATAACTCCACTCCAGGCCCATATCTCCACCTCCAGGCCCATATCTCCACTGCAGACCCATATCTCCACTCCAGGCCCATATCTCCACTCCAGGCCCAGATCTCCACTCCAGGCCCAGATCTCCACTCCAGGCCCAGATCTCCACCTCCAGGCCCCTATCTCCACTCTAGTCCCATATCTCCACTCCAGTCCCATATCTCCACCTCCAGGCCCATAACTTCACTCCAGGCCCATAACTCCACTGCAGACCCATATCTCCACTCCAGGCCCATATCTCCACTCCAGGACCATATCTCCACTCCAGGCTCATATCTCCACTCCAGGCCCGTATCTCCACCTCCAGGCCCATAACTTCACTCCAGGCCCATAACTCCACTCCAGGCCCATATCTCCACTCCAGTCCCATATCTCCACTCCAGTCCCATATCTCCACCCTAGGCTCCTACCTCCCCTCCAGGTTCCTATCTCTCCTCCAGGTTCCTCTCTCCACTCCAGGTTCCTATCCCCACTCCAGGCCCATATCTCCACTCCAGGCCCAGATCTTCACTCCAGGCCCAGATCTCCACTCCAGGCGCAGATCTCCACTTCTAGGCTCATCACTCCATCTCTAGGCCCAGATCTCCACTCCAGGCCCATAACTCCACCTCCAGGCCCATATCTCCACCTCTGGGCCCAGATCTCCATCCCCACGCTCCCTCCCTCTATTCCCTTCCAGGACTCACCAACACACGCCATGATGATGACCATGAGCGACATGGTGCTGCCGGTGCAGACAGGCGGCCGCGCCCCAGCTCAGCTCAGCAGCGCACAGGATGTTATTTGGCGCCCTGCCCATGCAGTTTACATGTTGACCACATCATGGGAGGGTGACGTACGCAGGCTTTTTCTACCTTGCATGAGGCCCAGTGGGTGCTCGCTCAAGAGCGGAACATGGCTTCCTGGAAATTGCTCTCACTAGAATTGACACCTCGCGTCCTTCACTATGACCAACTCAAAACATGTCTTAGATCCAACCTCCCAAACATGAGATGCCTAAAATCTGTGCTAACATGAAAGACTTTTCATGAATTTTTATTGTTTTTATCTGAGATTCGAACTCTTCTTCCTGTGTAATATGCAAAATATCTAATAGGTATTATTAGTGTTTTCAGAGTCATTGTGACTAATAAACCATTAGAATTGTTCATGCTTGTATTTCTAGTATTACAGCAGAACCAGTTCAAATGATTTAAATTCCCAGGGAAGGATTATGCAATTATTTACAATCTTAGAATTGTACTTTATCAGCAAAAACCACACATGTAAATTCTGGATTTTTGTAGTTTTATCTATAATTTGTCTCATGACTCAAGATTCCAGAGTCCCAACTTTGGAGTTTGCTCTCTCTCTGTCTCTCTGCCTCCCTCATTTTAAATTTTACAGAAATATCCAGTAACATAATGCTATAGAAAATCAAGTTTCCCCCAGCAGGTCGGGAAGCCGAGGTGGGCGGATCAACTGAGATGAGGAGATTGAGAGCAGCCTGGCCAACATAGTGAAACCGTGTCTCTGCTAAAAATCCAAAAATTAGCCGTGCCTGGTGGCAGGCACCTGTAACGCCAGCTACTCAAGAGGCTGAGGCACGAGAATCGCCTGAACCTGGGAGGCGGAAGTTGCAGTGAGCTGAGATTGCTCCACTACAGTCCCGCCTGGGCGACAGAGCAAGACTCCGCCTCAAGAAAAAAAAATAGCAAGTAGCCTATAATAACAAATTAGAGGGCTCTGGCTACTAAATTTAAAGGGTTTTATAAGGCTACATGAAGTGCAGCATCCTCAAGAGTGTGGACACAGAGAGCCCCTTAGCAGAAACAGTGTCTAAAATACATCCGTGTACACACAGTCCCTTTAGAGTTGACAAAGGCTGCCGTGTGGTTTAAGGTGGCATAGAATGTCTTCTTAATAAATAATATTAAACCAAAGGGTTACACGTAGGAAAAAATAAATCTAAACTTATTCTCACACTATAAAAACACTTCTTACTTTTTATCTAGTTATTGTACATTTTTTATGATTTATATTTAAAATTGAGAAATAAAAGTCATATACGGTCATCCTTTACTATTCGTGGGTGATTGGTTTCAGGATCTCCACTCAGGTACCAAAATCTGCAGATGCTCAAGCCTCTTACATAAAATGACACAGCATTTGGATATAACCCATGCACATCCTCCTGTATACATGAAATCATCTCTTGATTACTTATAATTCCTGATACAGCCTACACACTGCCTCATTTGTGTCCATTCAACATAGTTTTGCATTTTGAAACTTTGTGGACATTTTCTCTGAATATTTTTGATTTACACTTGGTTCAATAAACACCTGTAAACCCCACAGATATGGAGGAGCGACTGTATATTTATAGTATGAAATATGATGTGTTGATATGTGTCCCCGTGGAGATGAGACTAGCAAGGCTTATGACTCTACAAATGTTTCATCGTGGAATGACTCTGCCAGCTTTCCAGGTTGCAGAGAGTAAGAATATCACTTGTTCATGTGATTCACGATCCTTGGAACCTCCTATGTGCTGCATCTTTGGATGGAAATTGGAGTCCCAGAGACAAATGAGGCTCCACCCTGCTTCCAGAAGCTCAGAATCCAGGGGTGAGAACCCAGCGGAGAACAGATGGGGTTATGTGGACATGGTAATGATAACAGCGGTTTCTTTCAGCGAATACAGTGTCACATTACCTGAAGCAATGAGGGCAGACATGTTTATTTGAAGAGGAGACAGCTACATTGAAATCACAAAAAATTTTATAAGTTTCACTGCTGACAGAAGGCTGGAAAATAGTCCGAAGAAAGGTGAAACAGCATGAGGGAAGGTGGAACAGCACGTGGGTAAGTGCCACGTCAAGAGGGAGCCTCTTGTATGTTTGGAATTCTGAGTTCCTCAGTGTGATTGCAGCCTCAAGTAGACTAGGAAGTAAGCCAGTTAGGTTGGAGAGGTGGGCAGGGGTCAAGTGAAATGGAGAACTGTGGGCTAAGCAAAGGAGTGTGTTTTCTTTCCAGCAGGCAGTGGGGACCTAGACATTTGTAAGCAAGAGAGAGGCACCAGATTTGTGGCGTGAGGAGGAGCGATGCCCTAAGATGAAGACTCACGCCTTCAGATTCCAGCTGCTGGTACATGGGAGCTGGCAACTCGGTTTTGAGACAGGGCTGTTGTCTCCCTAGAAGACGTCCTCAAGGCCTGACTGTGGTGCTCATGGGCAGGAGACAACTTTGGATCTGGGCTTAGCATTTGGAAGTTCCGTGTACAAGATGGTATCTGTAGGGGGTGTCTTGGGCCTCTGAGAAGGGCGAGTGATTTTTCTCTGTGTGAAAACGCAGTGATCCAACTGTGCGTATGTCACCTCCTCAGGGTCTTGTTCATCAGAGTCCTGGAGAGAGGGAAATGCTGAGTGAGGGAGGGAAATGCTGAGTGAGGGAGGGTGCTCACGTTTTCCAGGACTGTTTGGGAATAACACTAGCCACGAGGCTGGGCCGAGGAGCACCTACCTCGCTGTTGGCTGTTCTGTTCCCTGCAGGCTCTTGGTCCATTACAGCAGCATCTGTAGGAGACGGAAGTCAACAAAAGAGCTCGGAGGGCACTTCTGGGTCCTCATTTCATAAGCAGATACCAACAAACAGGGGGAGGCCATAGGTGCCTGAGGTCCCTCAGTTGCCAACAGCAGACTCAGACATTCTATCTCTCTGAGCTCAAGGACCCATCCCATGAATAGCTCTGAGTTCCCATCCCATTGATTCTGTCTCCCACTTTCTGCCTCTCATGGAACCTTCTCCTGGATGTGAGTGGCTGCAGGGGACATGAGGATACAGTTCAGAATCAGGCAACGGTCTGTGAGCTGAAGGCAGGGGCAGGGAGTCTGGTGCTCTCTCTAGAAAGTCCTGCCTCTGTGGCTCCTGTCTTGGGCCAGGGACCATCCTGCCAGTGAGGAACACACAGCTGTGTGCTCCCATCCTGCTTCCCCACATGGCCCTGAGCTCTCTGGCCTGTGCCCCGTGAGACTTACTTTTTTTGTTGGAGCACCAGAGATGAAGGAGAAAGAAGAGGAGGAGGATGAAGAGGATGATGACCACTGAGGTCCCAATCAGAATGTGCAGGTGTCTGGGGTTACCTGGAAGAAGAGGAGACACCAGTAAGAAGCTAATCATAGCAGTTTCTCTATATGAATTGTCTTGCATTTCTTGATTGACAGGTAACCACTTACAGCATCTCTTTCGGACAAGCACCCAGATGGCGGGAGACCTAGCTTCCTCCTGCTTTCTCAGTTATAGCTCTCATAGTAACCATGGAACGTGCTGAGGATACAACTACTTTAGTTGAGATGTTTGACCCCTTCAAACCTCACATTGAAATTTAACCCCCAGTGTGGGAGGTTGGGCCTCTTGGGAGGTGTTTGGGTCATGGAGGTGGATCCATCATGAACAGATCAATGCTGTCCCAAGGAGACGGGGTTAGCAAGTTCCCTCTCTATTAGTTCCTGGAGAGCTGGTTGTTAAAAAGAGCTTGGAAGCTCCATTGCTCCCCCTCCCCCTTGCTCCCTCTCTTGCCGTGTGATCTCTGTGGTCTCTGCACAGACAGACCCTCCTTCCCTTCTGCCAGAGTGGGAGCGGCCTGAGGCCATCATAAGAAATAGATGCTGGTGCCATGCTTCCAGTACAGCCTGCAGAATGGTGAGGCAAACCAATCTCTTCTTTAGAAGTTACCCAGGCTCAAGTGTTCCTTTAGAGCAACAAAAATGGACTAAGACAGCAAAGTCCTGAGATCAGGAGGATCGTCCCAGAACAGCCTGGGCTGTCTTCCTGTTCTTCCTGGAGGAGGACGTCATGCAGTGCTTTAGCTGAGTGCTTCCTGTGGCTCCAGGGTACAAAACCCAGGCTGGGCTGCTTTCTGGCTTCCCCCAGCTACACTGCAAATGGGGTGACTCCACATGTCTCGAGCAGCTTTTCTGAGCCTTGGGGAACTGGCTCACATTGAAATGTAGGCTTCTGTTGTCACTCGCTGCTTATCTGTTAGTAATGAACCTGCCTATGTAACGTATTCTCTGTGTGTTCTGTCTCCCTGGAGTGACGGTGAGTGATAGGAATTGGCATAGGCCCAGGTGCAGTCCAGGAGGTGTTTAGAGTCTTCTCTGGGAAGACTGGACTGGGATTGATACACAGCGAATGTGCTTTAGGATTTCTACATCCACGGCATTCTTGAGTTAAACAACTTGCATTCTCCAAGAAAAGGAAACAAAAGTGAAATCAATATAAAAAAAGCGAAGTAGAATTCTCTTATGTCAAACAGCCAGAAAATAGTGTTGAAGCCCGTGTGAAATGTGCTACTCTTTGTGATCTCGGGAGACACATGTTAGGCTGCTGTTCTACCTCAGAGGCTGGGGGAAGGACCACCCCCTCGACTATCTATTGCTTCAATACCACCTGTCCTCCTGTGAATTAGTAGGAAAGGGGAGCAGGAGCTAGTGCTGGCACTGATCTCTGATTCCAAGATCTGGACTCACTCCAAGGAGTATTAGCATTTACCTCCCCATGATCTATCTGTATCTCCACAGGTGATTGGAAGTAGGGGTGAGATGGGGGATTTGGGTGAGGGGGCAAGTTTTTTTTGTGATGACCAGAGCACTTTCTCTATTCCAGGATTTGTGCTGGAGGATTCAGCGGGCTTTCACATTTTCTATATGATCTCATGCTCACAGAAAGCCAAATACGGAAGAGGTTTTAGGCTGATTGCCTAATGGATAAGATAAAGGATCAAAGAAGTAATTATAGAGAAATAGAAAAATGATGATGGGAATTCAGGTGCCTTTGTCATTCGTGTGTGTTTTATTATATTTATGCATTTCTTATTTTTATTTTTTGAGATGGAGTCTCCTTGTGTCACCCAGGCTGGAGTGCAGTGATGCGATCTCCACTCACTGCAACCTCCACCTCCTGGGTTGAAGTCATTCTCCTGCTTCATCCTCCAGAGCAGGAGCTGGGATTACAGGGATGCACCACCATGCTCGGCTAATTTTTGTATTTTTAGGAGAGATAGGGTTTCACCATGTAGAGATAGGGTTTCTCCATGTTGGCCAGGCTGGTCTCGAACTCCTGACTTCTTGGAATCCACTGGCCTTAGCCTCCTGCAGTGCTGGGTTACAGGAGTGAGCCACCGTTCACAGACTTGTATACTATGCTATAATAGGTCCCTTCATTTCCACCACCCCTCATATATCTGTCACTCCTTTGGCAGGTATTGATTTATGTGTAGGAGGAATAAATCTCAGAAAGAAATTAATTTAGCAAGGATTAAACAACTAGGAAACTCAAACCCAGCAAGCCCTCCCTGCAAATGATTCTACCTCCCAAACATAGCTTATATCCATCTGCTTCATCCACTTAGGGTCTAAATCAGCACCACATTTCACCAGTGGGGCGGCAATTGCCTTTTCCACTGTCTCCTAGATTCCAGTTACGCACCTGGGCCTCCCTTATTTTCATGTCAGTCACTATTAATCATGTAGGGATTCCTGGCTACCCCGAGGTGAATCCAATGGCTGTGAGTGTCAAACACACACTCCTTGTTGCTCCTTAGTTTCCTGTGTACCCAGTGTGCTCTCCGTCTCTCCACAGTCGTCTTGTCATTCTCCCCACCTCATTCCCAGCATTTCAGGCAGAGCCTCTTCCTTCCACATCAGATTGTTTTCAGCTTTCTGCCTTCACGGCTGACAGCTGTGTGTGGAAAATCCTTCCGCCAATCTTTCAGGGGTTCAATCCGTGTTTTTCATTAATGTCACAAATATCTGATTAGTGAGACCTTCTCTGTCACCCAAAATTATACACTCAGCATTATCTATTATTTATTTTGAATTCTGGCTGGGCAAAGTGGCTCACGCCTGTAATCCCAGTACTTTGGGTTGCTGAGATGGTCGGATCACTTGAGGTTGGGAGTTTCAGACAAGCTTGGCCAACGTGGTGAAACATCCTCTCTACAAAAAATATACAAAAAGAATTAGCCGGGCATGGTGGCAGTTGCCTGTAATCCCAGCTACTCGAGAGGGTGAGGCAGGAGAATCACTTGGATCCAGGAGACGCAGGTTGCAGTGAGCCAAGATCGTGACACTGCACTGTAGCCTGGAAGACAGAGGGAGACTCTGTCTCAATAAATAAATGAACGAACAAACAAATAGATTTCATGCACAGATGCTTCCCAATGGATCATTCATTTATTGGTCCACTTGTGCATTCATTTTCTGTCCTCCCATTTAACCATCTGCAATATCAGTGTCCCAAGAGCAGAGGCCAAATGCATCTTGTTCACCGTTCGTGGAAGGCAGGAGAATGCTGTCCCACCCCAAAATGTCCCTGTCCTAGCCTCCATAGCTTGTGAATATCTTATTTTACATGGAAAGAAGGAATGAAGATTGCAGATGGAATTACGGTTGCTAGTCAGCTGAACTTAAAACAAGGGTATCCTGAATGATTTCCGGGAGATTATGATGGATTTTCATCTTGGTGAACCCAATAGAATCCCCAAGTTTTCAAAAGATAAGGAAGAAGGGAGAGCAGCATTCAGAGAAAGAGGTGTGGTAAGGAAGAAGGGTCTGAGTGATGCCATGTGAGATGTGACCAGTCTTTGTGGGCTTTGAGGAAGGAGGAAGGGGACCAGGAGCCAAGGAACTGGGAGCCTTTAGAAGCTGGGACAAGTGAGAAGCAGATTCTTGCCTGGAATCCTCAGAGGGAAGGCAGCCTTGCTGTCACCTTGATTTTAGCCCAGTAAGATGCACTTCCTACTTTGAGCTACAGCACTGTAAGATAATTAAAAAACCGTTTTGTTTTCACCCACGAATCTTGTGGAAATTTGTTATGGCAACAATAGGAAAGGATTCCAACTGCACAGCCTGAGCATGGGGCCGTGGCTGAATGAGTCAGTGAGTCGAAGTGTGCGTGCATGAGCTCTGTTCTCTGTTACGGCAAGGCTCTTGCTCTGCTGAGTCAGCCAGGGTTGCTTCATGACCAACAGTAATTCATTCCTTGGCAAGTGGAACTTCTCTAAAACACCTCGCCCTCATCAGATGTTCCCTTCCCTTCCCTCTCTCAAGTCCCCAGGAATTTATCCTCCAGTTAGGAATGCAGGAAGAAAAAACACTGCATGTTTCCTGAGAAGGATGTCAGATTGGCAATCATTCTTCTAGCTTGTAGGAGGTCTCACCTGCAGGACATTAAAGGTTAAGAGACTTCGCTGAGCCCTTTGGTGGCCCTAGATCCCTTTCACTGTTGGAGTGTCTGGAGTTCAGAGATGGTGGAAGACAGGCCCTCATTCACAGAGCTGGGAGGTTTGAGCCAACACTTGCATCCAAGGCTTCCACCTCCCCAAGTTTCCAAAAGCAGAGATAAGAGGGGTCCTTTACTCACCAGATTTGGAGCTTGGTTCTGTGGGTGAAGGCCAACTACTTGAAGGGTTTCCTAGAACATGGGACAGGAGAGATGTGAGGAAATGAGGGTGCTTGTCCTCTACTCAATGGAAATCTTTGAGGTTGGTTCATGGCCAACACTCTGTTATCTAATGTTGGACCCTGGGAGTCTTGGGATCCTCTTCTCCATAATTTTTGTGTGCGATGCCCACTGTCTTGAGACTTGAAGGTATAAAGAGAAAACAGGAGCATCACACTACCTGACTTAGAAATATGTTACAGAGCTGTAGTAAGCAAAACAGCATGACATTGGCATAAAGAAAGGCACATAAAAAATGAAACAGAATGGAGAACACAGATATAATCCATGCATTTACATCCAATGGCTTTTTTTGTGTGTGTGTGTGTTAGAATCTTGCTCTGTCATGCAGGCTGGAGTGCAGAGGTGCAATCTCAGCTCAATGCAACCTCCACTTCCTGGATTCAAGCAATTCTCTTGCCTCAAACACCCGAGTAGTGGTATTACAGGCACTGGTCACCATGCTCAGCTAATTTTTGTATTTTTAGTAGAGACGAGGTTTCACTCTGTTGGCCAGCCTGATCTTGAACTCCTGGCTTCAGGTGATCCACCCGCCTCGGCCTCCCAAAGTGCTGGAATTGCAGGTGTGAGCCACCATACCCAGCCCATTTAATGGACTTTGACAAAGGTGCCGAGAACTTACAATCAGGAAAGGACAGTCTTTTCAATAAATGGTGTGGGGAAAACTGGATATCTACATGCAGAGGAATAAAACTGCATCTATACCTGTCACCATACACAAAAATCAAATGAAAATGGATTAAAAACATGAGTCTAAGGCCTGAACCTATGAAACATGTAGAAGAAAATAATGGGGAAGACATTTGTCTGACGAAAGACATTTTGTTTAAAACCTTCAAAACACAAGTAATCAAAGCAAAAAATAGACCATTAGGATTACATCAAACCAAGCAACTTCTGCACCACAAAAGATAAACCAAGAAAGTGAAGAGACAACCGACAAAATAGGAGCAAATATTTGCAAACTATTCATCTGAGACGGGATTAATAACTGGAAATATAAGAAGCTCAAACAACTCAATAAAACAATTTAATTAAAAAACGAGCAAAAGACATGAGGAGACATTTCTCCACAAACAAAACATAGAAATGGCGATCACGTATATGAAAAAGTACTCGGCATCACTCATCATCAGAGAAATGTAAATTACAATCGCGATGAGTTTTCATCTCATCCCATTAAAATGCCTTTTAGGCCGGTGGCTCACGCCTGTAATTCCGGCACTTCAGGAGGCGGAGGTGGGCGGATCACCTGAGGTCGGGAGACCAGCCTGACCATCATGGAGAAACTCCCTCTCTACTAAACATACAAAAATTAGCTAGGCGTGGTGGCACATGCCTGTAATCCCAGCTACTTTGGAGGCTGAGGCAGGAGAATCAGTTGAACGCGGGAGGCGGAGGTTGCAGTGAGCTGAGATCACACCCTTGCACTCCAGCCTGGGAGACTATGAGTGAAACTCCATCTCAACATAAATAAATAAATAAAATAAAGTAAAGTAAAATGGCTTTTACTGCAAGACAGGCAAAACAAATGCTGGCAAGATGGTAGAGAAAGGAGAACCCTGGTACCCTGTTGGTAGGAATGTAAATTAGTACAACTATTATGGAGAAAAGTATGGAAATTCTTTAAAAAACTAAAAGGAGGCTGGGCATAGTGGCTTATGCCTGTAACTTCAGCACTTTGGGAAACCGAGGCAGGCACCTCACTTGAGGTCAGGAGTTTGAGAGCAGCCTGCCCAAAATTGGGATATCCCGTCTGTGCTAAAAAAATACAAAAATTAGCCAGGCATGGTGGCGTGCACCTGTAATCACAGCTACTAGGGAGGCTGAGTCAGGACAATCATTTGAACCTAGGAGGCACAGGTTGCAATGAGCCAAGATCTCACCACTTAGACTCCAGCTTGGACTAAGGAGGGAAACTCTTTCTCAAAAAAGAAAAAAAAAAAAAGAGAACTTTCATAGTGTCCAGCAATTTCACTACTGGGTTTATATCCAAAGGAAAGGACATCAGTGTATCGAAGTGATATCTGCACTCATATGACTGTTCCAGCACTGTTCACAGTAGCCAAGATGTGGAGTCAACCTACCTGCCCATCAGTGGGTGAATGGATAGAGAACTGTGGTACACACACACAGTGGAGACTACTCATCCATAGAAACAATAACATCCTGTCATTTGCAGCCACATGGATGGAACTGGAGGTCATTACAAAGATTCCCATTTCTCACCCACATGCAGGAGATAAAAGGTGGATCTCATGAAGGTGGAGAATACAATGGTGGACACCAGAGGCCAGGAAGGGAAGGGTGGAGGGTAACAAAAAAAAGAATATAGATGTATTTATTTATTTAGAAACAGAGTCTCTCTCTGTCTCCCAGGCTGCAGTGCAGTGGCATGATCTCGGCTCAGTGCAACCTCTGCCTCCTGGGTTTAAGTGCTTCTCCTGCCTCAGCCTCCCAAGTAGCTAGGACTACAGGTGCATGCCAGCATGCTCGGCTAATTTTTCTTGTCTGTTTAGTAAAGATGAATTTCCCACATGTTGGCCAGGGTGATCTCGAGTTCCTGATCTTAAATGATCCACCTTCCTTGGCCTCTCAAAGCGCCGAGATTACAACCGTGAACCACCACACCCAGCATATAAAGGTATTTATGACCACTAGATTTTACTTTTAAAAATGGTAAAGGTGGTAAATTATATAGTTACATTTAACCTCAATAAATATTTTTGAAAATGAAAAGAAAAGGGTGTAGGGGTTGCTGGTGATGATATCTCTCTGTGTGGGTGAGAGGCCATGATGGGCTTCTGGGAAATGGATAAGATTGAGGGGCTGAGGGAACCTCTGATCTCCCCAAACTAAGCCCAGTCTCCCCTTCTCTGGGTCTGTCCTGACCGCTTTCTCCATCTGCCTGGGTGCCTGGAGCCCTGATCGGAGGCCTCCATGCAGGCCATGAAGGAGGGTTTGGAGGTGCCCTGTCTGCCATCCTGCGCCCTGACTCCGCCCTCACACCTGCTGTGTCTTCTCTCTGCATCTGTCCATGCTTTTCTCCATCATCAGCAGGAAGCTCCTTAGCTAAGGATTTAGGATCATAGGACATGAGAGAGATATGGGCTTTTCTCACCTGTGACAGAAACAAGCAGTGGGTCACTCGGGTCTGACCACTCGTAGGGAGAGTGACGGAAAGAGCCGAAGCATCTGTAGGTCCCTCCGTGGGTGGCAGGGCCCAGAGGGAAATCTGCCTGGAATGTTCTGTTGACCTTGCGCACTGCAGGGAGCCTACGTTCATGGGCTCCCCCCTCCCTGGATAGATGGTACATGTCATAGGAGCTCCGGGAGCTACAGGACAAGGTCACGCTCTCTCCTGCCTGAACCTTGGGGCCCGGCTGGGCTGAGAGAGAAGGTTTCTCATATGGACCTGGAAGGAGAAGAGGCAGTTTCCTCAGGGAGGTTCTTCCTTGTCATAGCTCCCCTCATACCTGAGCTGAGAACTCACTCCCCTGCTCTATGACCTAATGCTCTCTCTCTCTCTCTCACCCTCCACCCCATCTCTCTTCATATCTGTTTCCTCCTTCTACCTTTTCTGTCTCTCTAGGTCTATGACCTCACTTCCCCACCCTGAGGTATGTTTTCCCTTTTTGGATTGTTTTATTCTCTCTGACCCTCCTTGGATTGGTTGACTTGATCTTCCTTTTTCTTTAATTTTGAGTCTCTCACTTTCTGTCTTGTTCATAACTTTCTGCACATTTCTATCTATTTATCTATTTTGTGTCTATCTACAAATTATCTATCATCTATATTTATGTATCACTTATCTATCTCTCTATCAATTGTCTATCTGTCTATCTATCCATCAATCATCTATTATCTATATATGTATCATCTATCTCTCTCTCTATTACCTCTCTGTCTGCCTCTCTGTCTCTATTTATGTATCATCTATGTATATATCTATGTGTCTATCATCATCATCGTCATCTCTATGTATCATCTATCAGTCATCATCTATGTATCTATAACCAATCCATTATCTATCATCTACCTATTTATCATCTATCTACGTCTATCTATCCATCTATCATCTCTCTCTCTCCGTCTCCTTGTCTTTCTCTGCCTCTCAGTCTCTCTAGTTCTATTTGGAATCTCTGCAATCCATCCCCACATATTTATCTTTCTCTGTCTTTGTGTCCCTCCCTCAGGGTTCTGATTTTGGGGCTTTTCTCTCCTCCTTTCCATCATTCTCTCCATTCTGCCCTCTTTTCTTTCTTTTTATGTGTCTGTGAATCTCTTAATCTCCTTCTTCTGGCTCATTTTGTGTGTGTTTATGTCTTTGTTTTTTGGTGTCCCTGATTTTTCTCTGTGTCTCTCAGCGATCCTATCATATGTGGGATTATTTGGAATATGAGCCTCAGAATCCAGTCTGGGGACCCCAAGTTCACACAGCATACAGGGGTTGGTGTTCAGGGGCCATGATATCCTGGGATGATTACTCTCCATTGCATGGAAGGCAGAGGTGTCAGAATAAACACGGCATCTGTAGGTGGCACAAGGCCTGAGGCCACAGGGCCCAACTCAGGTCAGAAATATGGGTGTCCTTGGGTTCTTCTGGTAGGAACACTTTGTGGAGGTAAAACAGAAATGAAACTTCTAACCTGTGCCAGGTCTCTGAGCAAAGTCAGCATGGAAGGACACCTCTCTCTGGGACATGTCTGTCTGTCTGAGTGTCTCCTTTACCTCTTTCTCTCTTTTCTACCTCCCTGTATGGCCCCTGTGTCTGTCCTCTGTTATGACACCTGTTCTGTACTTATGTCTCCTGTTTCTCTGTCTCTGTTGGTACAGACCTCACCAAGTCACTCTCTTTCCATAAGAATCCCACACTTATCTTCCTCATGACCACCTGGGGGTTCCAAGTCCTGGATCATTCACTCTGTGTCCCAGTGACAATGAGAACAATGTCTAGACACTCTCACCTGTGACCACGATGTCCAGGGGATCACTGGGAGCTGACAACTGATAGGGGGTGTGAGTAACAGAACCGTAGCATCTGTAGGTCCCTGCAAGGGCAAGCATCATGGGACCGATGGAGAAATTGGCCTTGGAGACCCCATCATGGATCTGTCCAACGAGGCGTGAGGGGTCCTTAGAGATCCCCTCTTTGTGCAGAAAGAAGTGCTCAAACATGATATCTGACCAACATTGCAGGATGACTCTCTCTCCTGATTTCACCAGGGGACCTGGGTGGGCCAGGAGGGAAGGTTTTCTGTGGTTTCCTAGAAAGAGAAGTTGTGAGTTTAGAAGGCATCTCTCTTTATCATCCCATCCATGGCACCTGGAATGAGTGAGGGTTCCCCTCCCCGTGTCTGTCTCTCTCCTCCCTCTCTGCATCTCCGTGTCTTTTCTGTGCCCATATCCCCTGGTGCAGGTGCCTCCATCTGTCTTCCTCCCTCTTCTCTGTCCCTCTGTCTCCAGTAGCCCCTGACTCCCTTGCCACTGTGAAGACAGCCTCATCTCTTGGGCTGTTGTATCTGTTTCCCACTAATCTCTTTCCTGCTGTCTATGTGGGGGTGGAAGAGGACAGGCTGCATGTCCAGGCTCTTAGCAGCCTGAATCAATCTCTTTTGAACAAATCCCCAGTTCAAGTGATTCTCTTGCCTCAGCCTCCCCAGTCGTTGGATTACTCGCGCCCACCACCACATCTGGCTATCCTTGTTTGGTTTCCTAACTTGTCCTTGACCTGGGTTCCTGTGTTGGTTTCCTGTTGCTGCTGCAGAAAATTACCACAAACATGGCAGCGGGAGAGAACACACTGACCCCTTCCACTTCTGGAGACAGAAATTGGATCCAGTTCTCCCTGTGCTGAAATCAAGGTGTCTACAGGGCTGCGTTCCCTCTGGAGAATCAGCGAATCAGTTCTCTTGACTTCTCCAGCCCTTAGAGGCCACCTGCATTCTGTGACTAGTGGTCTTCCTCCACCTTCAAAGCCCGCAGTGGCTGATAGCGTCTCCCTCCCACTACACTGCTCTAATCCCCACTCCCCTCTTCCTCCACCTCTCATGTGGACCCTTGTGATTACACTGAGCCCAGTGGGACAGTCCAGGCTGTCTCCCCATCTCAAGGTCAACTCATCAACAACCTGAGCTCCACCTTCCCCTTCAGTCCCCTGCCCTGTAACATAAATAGTCACAGGCTCCAGGGATTACAATGTAGCCATCATTGGGGACAGTGATTCTTCCCACCACAGCACCCATTTCCCCTGTATTCAATCTCCCTTGACCCCAAATACAGTCAGGGCCTGGGTGATGGGACCCTGACGGACACCCCCACCAGAAGCTCTGGGATTCAGGAGGTGGGACAGTGAGAAGCCCAGACGGAAAGCCTCTGACCTGTGACCATGATCACCACGGGGTTGCTGGGTGCCGACCACCCAGTGGGGGAGTGTGGGTGTGAACCCCGACATGTGTAGTTCCCTGCATGTGCTGTGGTCACAGGGCTCATGTTGAAGCTCTCCTGGAATAATCTGCCATGGAAGATGGGAACGTGGATTCTGTCTTCTTTGTATAGCATGAAATTGTTAAACCTATGACGATAGTGACACCGAAGAGTCACGTGTCCTCCTCGAGGCACCACAGCGCTGGGCCAGGCAGACAGGAAGGGCTTGTCCTGACCACCTGGGGGAGAAGGAGGCACTGCCTTAGAGAGGAGGATGTGGAGCCGCCCCTCACTCCCAGTGCCCAGAAGATTCTCCCCATTTCCACTTTCTAAGGCTCCTACCACACCTGGGTGCCCAGGGCTACAGGAAGGACCCATCCTGCATAGACATGGCGTCTCCCTACAACAAGTGTCAGCTGAGAACTTTGAGCAAGTGCTGGAGAAGCAACTCTTACTAGATTTTAATACTGCAAAATTACTCATATAAAACAACACAAAGTAGACACGGCATGGAGGGCAAGTCCTATGTGAATGGAATATCAGCCAATTGATGAACTGAGCCCCCATCAGAGGATTTGGAATGTCAGGGCCATGGCTGTGGTTTCCTCACCTTTTCTGGTAGAAAGACCACAGCCACACTGCAGCCCCTACCATCACGGAAACGCTGGAGGGTGTGAGTTACACCTTTGTCCTCAGAGGACCTGCTGTTCCTAGCACTGCTTCCCTCTCTTTCTCTGCTGCTGACACCACTTCCTCCCTGCACACCCATCTTGGAGCACCCTAGTCTCACCCCAGTCTTCACAGAGCTTGACTCAGGAAAGGGAAAGAAAGGCCGGGGAGGGCAAGGTCAGAAATGTGGGCCGAGCATCCGAGGGTCCCCTCTTCCTAGTTTATGAGAGACTCCCCGACAGGACTTCCCTCCCATTTCAGGAAAATCCTCTTATGTGGGGAGATGACACCCTAAGGTTTGGGGAAGGACTCACCCATGTGTGGACCGGCCCTCTGGACCAAGAAGAACCCTAGAAAGAAAGATCATGATGGACCATCCATCTGCAGGCAAACCAGGGCACCCTGCTGCCCCCACTGGGCTGTGCGTCTTGGCAGCCAGGCCCTTGCTGGGCTGAAGGTAAACTCACCCTCGCTGCCTACCTGCCCCCAGGAACAAGGATCTCGGCTGTGCAGAGACTCAGCCTCCAGGCCCAGATCTCTACCTCCAGGCCTAGATCTACACAACAGGCCCAGATCTCCACTCCAGGTCCGTATCTCCACTCCAGACCCATATCTCCTCTCCAGGCTGATAAGTCCACTCCAGGCCCATATCTCCACTCCAGGCTCCTATCTCAACTCCAGGCTCATATATCCACTCCAGGCTCATATCTCCACTCCAGGCCCATATTTCCACTCCAGGCTTCTATCTCCTCTCCAGGCCCATATCTCCTTTCCAGGCTTGTATGTCTGCTCCAGGCCCGTATCTCCACCCCAGGCCCATATCTCCACTCCAGGATCATATCTCCACTCCAGGCCCAGATCTCCACTTCATGCCCTTAACTCCACCTCCGGGCCCATAACTCCACCTCTAGGCCCATATCTCCACTCCAGGCCCATATCTCCACTTCAGGCCCATATCTCTACTGCAGGCCCATAACTCCACCTCCAGGCCCATATCTCCACTCCAGGCCCATCGCTCCACTTCTAGGCCCATCACTCCACCTCTAGGCCCACATCTCCCCTCCAGGCCCATCCATATCTCCCCTCCAGGCCCATATCTCCACCCCAGGCACATATCTCCACCCCAGGCCCATATCTCCACTCCAGGCCCAGATCTCCACTCCAGGCACATATCTCCACCCCAGGCCCCTATCTCCACTCCAGGCCCAGATCTCCACTCCAGGCCCAGATCTCCACTTCAGGCCCATAACTCCACCTCCAGGCCCATAACTCCACCTCTAGGCCCATATCTTTACCTCCAGGTCCAGATCTCCATCCCCGCACTCCCTCCCTCGATTCCCTTCCAGGACTCACCAACACACGCCATGCTGACGACCATGAGCAACATGGTGCTGCCGGTGCAGACAGGCGGCCGCGCCCCAGCTCAGCTCAGCAGCGCACAGGATGTTATTTGGCGCCCTGCCCATGCAGTTTACATGTTGACCACATCATGGGAGGGTGACGTACGCAGGCTCTTTCTACCTTGCATGAGGCCCAGTGGGTGCTCGCTCAAGAGCGGAACATGGCTTCCTGGAAATTGCTCTCACTAGAATTGACACCTCGCGTCCTTCACTATGACCAACTCAAAACACGTCTTAGATCCAACCTCCCGAACACGAGATGCCTAAAATCTGTGCTAACATGAAAGACTTTTCATGTATTTTTTTTGCTTTTATCTGAGATTCAAACTCTTCTTCCTGTGTAATATGCAAAATATCTAATAGGTATTATTAAGGTTTTCAGAGCAATTGTGACTAATAAACCATTAGAATTTTTCATGATTGTATTTCTAGTATTACAGCAGAACCAGTTCAAATGATTTAAACTCCCAGGGAAGGATTATGCAATTATTTACAATCTTAGAATTGTACTTTATCAGCAAAAATCACAACATGTAAATTCTGGATTTTTGTAGATTTATCTAGAATTTGTCTCATGTCCCAAGATTCCAGAGTTCCAACTCATGGTTTGCTCTCTCTCTGTCTCTCTGCCTCCCTCATTTTAAATTTTACAGAAATATCCAGTAACATAATGCTATAGAAAATCAATTTCCCCAGCACTTTGGAAGCCGAAGTGAGTGATCAACCGAGGTCAGGAGTTTGAGACCAGCCTGGCCAATATAGTGAAACCATGTCTCTGCTAAAAATACAAAAATTAGCCATGCCTGGTAGCAGGCACTTGTAATGCCAGCTATTCAAGAGGCTGAGGCACGGAATCCCTTGAACCTGGGAGGCGGAAGTTGCAGTGAGCCGAGATCGTGCCACTGCACTCCAGCCTGGGCAACAGAGCGAGACTCTGCCTCAAGAAAAATAAAAAAAGCATAGCAAATAGCCTATAATAAATAACTAGAGGACTCCAGCTACCAAATTTTAGGGGTTGTATAAGGCTGCATAAAATGCAGCATTCTCAAGAGAGTGGACAGAGAGAGAGCCACTGAGCAGAAAACAGTGTCTAAAATACATCCGTGTACACACAGTCCCTTTATAGTTGACAAAGGCTGCCATGTGGTTTAAGGTGGAATAGAATGTCTTCTCAATAAATAACATGGGCCCAAGGGTTACACATGGAGAAAAATATATCTAAAAGTATTCTCACACTATAAAACACTTGTTTATTTTATCTTGTTATTGTAATTTTTTTATGTTTTATATTTAAAATTGAGAAATAAAAATTATATACAGTCATCCCTCACTATTCGTGGGTGATTGGTTTCAGGATCTCCACTCAGATAGCACAATCTGCAGATGCTCAAGCCTCTTACATGAAATGGCACAGCATTTGCAAATAACCCATGCACATCCTCCTGTGTACATGAAATCATCCCTTGATTATTTATAATTCCTGATACAGCCTACACACAGCTTCATTTGTGTCCATTCAACATAGTTTTGCTTTTTGAAACTTTGTGGATTTTTTCTCTGAATATTTTTGATTTATATTTGGTTCAATAAACACCTGTAAATCCCACAGATACAGAGGACCGACTGTATATTTATAGTATGAAAGATGATGTGTTGATATGTGTCCCCGTGGAGATGAGACTGACAAGGCCTATGACTCTACAAATGTTTCATCATGGAATGACTCTGCCAGCTTTCCAGGTCTGCAGAGAGTAAGAATATCACTTGTTCATGTGATTCACGATCCTTGGAACCTCTTATGTGCTGCATCTTTGGATGGAAATTGGAGTCTCAGAGACAAATCAGGCTCCACCCTGCTTCCAGAAGCTCAGAGTCCAGGGGTGAGAACCCAGTGGAGAACAGTTGGAGTTATTTGGACATGGTAATGATAACACTGGAAACTTTCAGCCAAAAAAAGAGTCACCTAAAGAATGAAGGCAGACATGTTTATTTGAAGAGGAGAGAACTACACTGAAATCAAAAAAATTTTATAAGGTTTGCTGATGCCAGAAGGCTGAAAAATAGTCTGAGGAAAGGTGGAACAGCACGAGGGAAGGTGGAACAGCACGTGTCTAAGTGCCGTGTTAAGAGAGAGCCTCTTGTATGTTTGGAATTGTGAGTTCCTCAGTGTGATTGCAGCCTCAAGTAGACTAGGAAGTAAGCCAGTTAGGTTGGAGAGGTGGGCAGGGGTCAAGTGAAATAGAGAATTGTGGGCTAAGCAAAGGAGTGTGTTTTCTCTGCAGCAGGCAGTGGGGACCTTAGACATTGGTAAGCAAGAGACAGGCACCAGATTTGTGGTGTGAGGAAGAGTGATGCTCTAAGATGGAGACTCACGCCTTCAGATTCCAGCTGCTGGTACATTAGAGCTGGCAAGCTGGGTTTGAGACAGGGCTGTTGTCTCCCTAGAAGATCCCATCAAGGCCTGACTGTGGTGCTCATGGGCAGGAGACAACGCTCTGGGCTCAGCATTTGGAAGTTCTATACACACGCTGGTATCTGTTGAGGGTCTCTTGCTCCTCTGAGAAGGGCCAGTGATTTTTCTCTGTGTGAAAATGCAGTGATCCAACTGTGCGTATGTCACCTCCTGAGGGTCTTGTTCATCAGAGTCCTGGAGAGAGGGAAATCCTGAGTGAGGGAGGGTGTTCACATTTTTCAGGACTATTAGGGAATAAGACTGTATCCATGAGGCTGGGCTAGGAGGACCTACCTCCCTGTTCACTGTTCTGTGTCCCGCAGGCTCTTGGTTCATTACAGCAGCATCTGTAGGAGACGGAAGCAATCAAAACAGCTGGGAGGGCACTTCTGGGTCCTCATTTCATGAACAGATACCAACACACAGGGGGAGGCCATAGGTGCCTGAGGTCCCTCAGCTGCCAACAGCCAGACTCAGACATTCCATCTCTCTGAGTGCAAGACCCCATTCCATGAATAGCTGTCAGTTCCCATCCCATTGATTCTATCTCCCACTTTCTGCCTGTCATGGAATCTTCTCCTGGATGTGAGTGGCTGCAGGGGACGTGAGGATACAGTTCACAATCAGGCAATGGTCTGTGAGCTGAAGGCAGGGGCAGGGTGTCTGGTGCTCTCTCTAGAAAGCTCTGCCTCTGGCTCCTGCCTTGGGCCAGAGACTTTCCTGCCAGTGAGGAACACACACCTGCGTGCTCCCATCCTGCTTCCGCACAGGGCCCTGAGTTCTCTGGCCTCTGCTTCGTGAGGCTTACTTTTTTTTTTGGAGCACCAGCGATGAAGGAGAAAGAAGGGAAGGATGGTGAAGAGGATGATGGCCACTGAGTACCTAATCACAGCATGCAGGTGTCTGGCGATACCTGGAGGAAGATGAGAATCCAATAAGAAGCTAACCATAGCAGTTCCTCTTTGTGGATTGTCTCTCATTTCTTGGTTGCCAGGCAACCACATAAAACACCTCTTTAGGACAAGCACCCACGAGGCGGGAGACCCAGCTTTCTCCTGCTTTCTCCGTTATAGTTTTCATAATAACAATAGAATGTGCTGATGATACAACTGCTATTGTTTCAATGTTTGACCCCTCCAAACCCCACTTTGAAATTTAATCCCCAGTGTGGGAGGTTGTGCCTATTGGGAGGGGTGTTTTGGTCATGGGGGTGGATCCATCATGAATAGATTAATGCTGTCCCCAGAGGACGGGTTTAGCAAGTTCTCCCTCTATTAGTACCCTGGAGAGTTGATTCTTAAAAAGAGCTTGGAAGCTCCATCACACCCCCTTTCTCCCTCTCTTGCCATGTGATCTCTGTGGTCTCTGCACACGCAGGACCCCCTTCTCTTCTGTCAGTGTGGGAGCAGCCTGAGGCCGCAGCCAGAAATAGATGGTAGTGTCCTGCTTCTAGTACAGCGTGCCGATCAGTGAGCCAAACACATCTCTTTTCTTTAGAAGATACCCAGGCTCAAGTGTTCTTTTATAGCAACAAAAATAGGCTAAGACAGCAACATCCTGAGATCAGGAGGAACGTCTCAGAACAGCCTGGGCTGTCTTCCTGTTCTTCCTGGAGGAGAACATCATGCAGTGCTTTAGCTGAGTGTTCCCTGTGGCTCCAGGGTACAAAACCCAGGCTGGGCTGCTTTCTGGCTTCCCCCAGCTACAGTGCACATGAAGTGACTCCATGTGTCCTGAGCAGTTTTTCTGAGCCTTGAGGGACTGGCTCACCCTGAAAGGAAGGTTTCTGTTGTCACTCGCTGCTTATCTATAAGTAATGAACCTGCCTATGTAATGTATTCCCTGTGTGTTCTGTCTCCCTGGAGTGATGGTGAGTGATAGAAATTGGCACAGGCCCAGGTGCAGTATGGGAGGTGTTTAGAGTCTTCTCTGGGAAGACTGGACTGGGATTGATACACAGTGAATGTGCTTTACAGTTTCTACATCCACAACCCTCTTGACTCAAACAAATTACATTCTCCAAGAAAAGGAAAAAACAGTGACATTGAAATCAACATAAGTGAGGTTGAGCTGTCTTATATCAAACAGCCAGGAAATAATGATGAAGCTCGTGGGCAACATGCTACTTTTGTCATCTTGGGAGTCAGATATTAGGCTGCTGTTCCACCCGAGAGTCTGGGGGAAAGACCACCCCCTCCATCATCTGTTGCTTCAATACAGCCTGTCTTTCTGTGAATTACTCCAAAAGGTGACCAGGAGATAGTGCTGGCACTGGTCTCTGAGTCTACGATCTGAACTCCAAAGAATATTAGTTTTTACCTCCCCATGATCTATCTGTATCATTAATGTGATTGGAAGTAGGGGTGAGGTGGGGGATTTGGGTGAAGGGGCAAGTTTTGTGCCATGAACAGATCACGTTCTCTATTCCAGGACCTGTGCTGGTGGGTTTCACATTTTCCATATGATCTCATGCTCACAGAAAGCCAAATAAGGAAGATGTTTTCGCCTGATTTTCTTATGGATAGGATAAAGGATCAAAGAAGTCATTATAGAGAAATAGAAAAATGATGATTGGAATTGGTGTGCCTTTGTCATTCGTGTATGTTATATTATATTTATGTATTCTTTATTTTTATTTTTTGCCATGGAGTCTCACTCTGTCACCTAGGGTGCAGTGCAATGACGCGATCTTGGCTCACTGTAACCTCTCCCTCCCTGGTTGAAGCCATTCTCCTTCTTCAACTTCCTGAATAGCTGGTATTACAGGCACGCGCCACCACCCCCAGCTAGTTTTTGTATATTTTGTAGAGATGGGGTTTCACCATGTTGTCCAGGCTGATCTCGAACTCCTGATCTCACTTGATCCAGCCTCCTCAGCCTCCCAAAATGTTGGGTTACAGGTGTGAGCCACCGTTCAGAACCTTGTGTGTTATATTATAATAGGTCTCTTCCTTTGCACCACCCCTCATGTATCTCTCACTCCTCTGCCAAGTATTGATTTACATGTAGGAAAAATAAATCTCAGAAAGAAATCAATGAAGTGAAGATTAAACAATTAGGAAAAATCAAACCAGGCAAGCCCTCCCTGCAAATTACTCTACCTCACAAACACATCTTGTGTCCATCTTTCATTCATTTAGTGTCTAAATCAGCACCACATTTCACCAGGGGGGCGGGAATTGCCTTTTCCACAGTCTCCTAGATTCCAGTTATGCACCTGGGCCTCCCTTATTTTCATGTCAGTCACTATTCATCATGTAGGGATTCCCAGTTAGCCCCGAGGTAAGTCCAATGGCTGTGAGTATCAAACACACGCTCCTTGTTCCTCCTTAGTTTCCTGTGTACCCAGAGTGCTCTCTGTCTCTCCACAGTCGTCTTGTCATTCTCCCCATGTCATTCCCAGCATTTCAGGCAGAGCCTCTTCCTTCCACATAACATTGTTTTCACCTTTGTGCCTTCACGGCTGACAGCTGTGTGGAAAATCCTTCCGCCAATCTTCCAGGGGTTGATCTATTTTTTTCATTAAGGTCACAAGTATTATTTGATCAGTGAGAACTTCTCTGTCACCCGAAATTATACACTCAGCATTATCTATTATTTCTTTTAAAATACGGCTCGGCGCCTTGGCTCACGCCTCTAATCTCAGCACTTTGGGAGGCTGAGACGGGCGGATCCCTTAAGGTTGGGAGTTTGAGATAGCCTGGGCAACATGGTAAAACCTTGTCTGTACTAAAAAAAAATACCAAAAAAAAATTAGCCAGGCGTGGTGGGACATGGGTGTAATCCCAGCCTCTCGGGAAGCTGAGTGTAGAGAATCGCTTTAACCTGGGAGGTGGAGGTTGCGGTGAGCCGAGATCCCGCCACTGCACTCCAGCCTGGGGCACAGAGGGAGACACCGTCTCATAAAAACAACCAATCAATCAATCATTCTCATGCACAGATGCTTCCCAATGGATCATTCATTTATTGGTCCACTGGTGTATTCATTTTCTGCCCTCCCATTTAATCCTTTGCAATATCAGTGTCCAAGAGCAGAGGCCAAATGCACCTTGTTTACCATTTGTGGAAAGGATAAGAATGCCGCCCCACCCCAAAATGTTCCTGTCCTAGTCGCCATATCTTGTGAATATGTTATTTTACATGGAAAAAAGGAATGCAGATTGCAGATGGAATTACGGTTGCTAATCAGCTAACCTTAAAAGGAGGGTATCCTAGATGATTTTAGGGAAATTATGATGGATTATCTTGGTGTTTCCAATAGAATGCCAAAGTCCTTAAAAGATGAGGAAGAAGGCAGAGCAGCATTCAGAGAAAGAGGTGTGGACAAGGAAGAAGGGTCTGAGTGATGCCGTGTGAGAGGCGTGACCAGCCTTTGTGGACTTTGAGGGAGGAAGACGGGGACCAGGAGCCAAGGAATGTGGGAGCCTCTAGGAGCTGGGAAAAGTGAGGAAGCAGATTCTTGCCTGGAACATTCAGAGGGAAGGCAGCCTTGCTGTCACCTTGATTTTAGCCCAGTGAGATGATGCATTTCATACTTCTGAGCTACAGCACCATGAGATATTTTTTAAAAATGTGGTTTCCATCCACGAAGCTTGTGGAAATTTGTTATGGCAACATAGGAAAAAGTTCCACACTGCACAGTCTGAGCATGGGGCAGTGGCTGAACGAGTAAGTGGAAGTGTCATGTGCACGGATGAACTACGTTCTCTCTTACCGCAAAGCTCTTGTTCCACTAAGTCAACCAGGGTTGGATCATGACAGACAGGAGCTCATTCCTTGGCAAGTAGAACTTCTCTACAAACACACCACCCTCAAAAATGTTCCCCTTCCTTCCCCTTCTCAAGCCCCCAGGCATTTGTCCTCCCAGTTAGGAATGCAGGCAGAACAAACACAGCATTTTTCCTGAGAAGAATGTCTGATTTGCACTCATCCTTCTACCCTGAGGTCTCAGCAGCAGAAAATTAGAGATTAAGAGATTTCACTGAGCCCTGTGCTGGGCCCAGATCCCTTTCGCTGTTGGAGTGTCTGGGGTTCAGAGACAATGGAAGACAGGCCCACAATCACAGAGCTGGCAGGTGCTGAGCCAACGCTTGAATCCAAGGCTTCTACCTCCCCAGGTTTCCAAAAGCAGAGATAAGAGGGGTCCTTCACTTACCAGTTTTGAAGCTTGGTTCAGTGGGTGAAGGCCAACTACTAGAAGGGTTTCCTAGAACATGGGACAGGAGAGAGGTGTGGCAATGAGGATGCCTGTCTTTTCTACTCAATGGAAATCTTTGAGGTTGGTTCATGGCCAACCTTCTATTATCTAATGTTGGGCCCTGGGAGTCCTGGCATCCCATTCTCCATAATCATTGTAGGTGACACCAACTATCTTGAGACTTCAAGGTATAAGGAGAAAACAGGAGCATCACACTACCTGACTTAAAAATATGTTACAGAGCTGTAGTAAGCAAAACAACATGACATTGGCATAAAGAAAAGCACATAAAACAATGAAGCAGAATGAAGAACACGGATGTAATCCACCCATTTACATCCAATGGACTTTGACAAAGGTTCGAAGAATCTACAATCTGGAAAGGACAGTCATTTCAATAAATGGTGCAGGGAAAACTGGATATCTACATGCAGAGGGATGAAACTGCACCTCTACCTCTCACCATACACAAAAATCAGATGAAAATGGATTAATGACTTAAGACCTGAATCCATTAAATGTCTAAAAGGAAACACTGGAGAAATGCTCCAGGACATTTGTCTGAGGGAAGACATTTTGTTTAAAACCTCAAAAACACAAGTAATCACAACAACAACAAAAAAAATAGACCATTGGGATTATATCAAATCAAGCAGCTTCTGCACCGCAAAGGAAGCAACCAATGAAGTGAAGAAGAGAAAACCCACAGAATGGGAGCAAATATTTGCAGACTATGCATCTGAGATGGGATTAATAACTAGAATATAAAAGAAGCTCAAACACCTCAATAAAACTAATAATTTAATTATAAAATTAGTAAAAGACCTGAACAGACATTTCTCAATGAACAAAACATACAAATGAACATATATACATTGCATATATGAAAAAGTGCTCAGTATCACTAATCATCAGAGAAATGCAAATGAAGTCACAATGAGCTATCATCTCACCCCATTACAATGGGTTTTATCTCAGAGACAGACAAAACAAATGTTGGCAAGGTGGTGGAGAAAGGAGAACCCTGATACACTGTTGATAGGAATGTAAATTAATACAGCCATTACAGAGGAGAAGAATATGGAAGTTCCTTAAAAACTGAAAAGAGATTAGGCACTGTGGCTCACGCTTGTAATCCCAGCACCTTGGGAGGCTGAAGTGGGCAGATCACTGGAGGTCAAGAGTTCGAGACCAGCCTGGCTAACATGGTGAAACCCCGTCTCTACTAAAAATACAAAAATCAGCCAGGCTTGGTGGCGGGCACCAGTAATCCCAACTACTCGGGAGGCTGAGGCTGGAGAATCACTTGAATCCTGGAGGTAGAGGTTGCAGTGAGCCCAGGTGGTGCCATTGCACTCCAGCTTGGGCAACAAGAGTGAAACGCTATGTCAAAAAAACAAAAAGCATAAAACAAAACCTAAAAAGAGAACATCCAGAGGATCTAGCAATTCCACTAGTGGGTGTAAATGCAAAGAAAAGGACTTCAGTGTATTGAAGTGACATCTGCACTCCCATGACTGTTCCAGCACTGTTCACAGTAGCCAAGATGTGGAGTCAACCTACCTGCCCATCAGTGGATGAATGGATAGAGAGAATGTAGTACATACACACAATGGAGACAACTCATCCATAGAAAGAGTAACGTCCTGTCATTTGCAGCCACATGGATGGACTAGAGGTCATTACAAGGATTGCCATTTCTTACTCACATGCAGGATGTAAAAGGTGGACCTCATGAAGGTAGAGAGTAGAATGGTGGATACCAGAGGTTAGGAAGGAAGGGGTGGAGGGTAACAAAAGAAGAATATAAAAGTATTTATTTATTTATTTATTTAGAGACAGAGTCTCTCTGTGTCACCAGGCTGCAGTGCAGTGGCATGATCTCAGCTCACTGCAACCTCCTCCTCCTGGGTTTAAGCCACTCTCCCGCCTCAGCCTCCCAAGTTGCTGGGATTATAGGCGCCTGGCACCATGCCTGGCTAATTTTATTTTTTTTGTCTTTTTAGTAAAGATTGGTTCCCCCATGTTGGCCGGGCTGGTCTCCAGCCCCTGATTTTAAATGATCCACCTGCCTTGGCGTCTCAAAATGCTGAGATTACAGGCGTGAGCCACCGCACACAGCATATAAAGGTATTTATGATCCCTAGATTTTACACTTAAAAATGGTAAAGTTGATAAATTATATAGGTATATTTAACCTCAATCAGCATTTTTTCAAAGGAAAAGAAAAAGTGTAGGGGTTGCTGGTGATGACATCTCTGTGTAGGTGAGAGGCCAGGGTGGGCTTCTGGGAAATGGGTAAGGTTGAGGGGCTGAGGGAACCTCTGATCTCCCCAAACTGAGCCCAGTCTCCCTCCTCTGGGTCTGTCCTGACCACTTTCTCCATCTGCCTGGGTACCCGGAGCCCTTACTGCAAGCTTCCATGCAGGCCATGCAGGAGGGTTTGGAGGTGCCCTGTCTGCCATCCTGTGCCCTGATCCCACCCTCACACCATGCTGCATCTTCTCTCCACATCTGTCCATGCTTCTCTCCATCATCAGCAGGAAGCTCCTCAGCTAAGGCTCTAGGACCATAGGACATGGGACAGACATTGGCTTTCCTCACCTGTGACAGAAACAGGCAGTGGGTCACTCGCGTCTGACCACTCGTAGGGAGATCCATGGAAAGAGCCGAAGCATCTGTAGGTCTCTCCGTGGGTGGCAGGACCCAGAGGGAAGTCGGCCTGGAATGTTCCATTGATGCTGGGCACTGCAGGGAGCCTAAGTTCATGGGCTTCCCCCTCCCTGGATAGATGGTAGATGTCAAAGGAGCTCTGGGAGCTGCAGGACAAGGTCACGTTCTCTCCTGTGCGAACCGTGGGGCCCGGCCGGGCTGTAAGCGAAGGTTTCTCATATAGACCTGGAAGGAGAAGAGGCAGTTTCCTCAGGGAGGTTCTTCCTTGTCACAGCTCCCCTCCCACCTGAGCTGAGAACTCACTGCCCTGCTCTATGGCCTAGTGCTCTCTCTCTCTCTCTCACCCTCCACCCCCAACTCTTCCTGTCGATCCCTCCCTATGTGGTTCCAGCCTGGTGGTGGCATCAGCAGTGCACCCTTGCTGATCTCAGGGTAGCCAACCTTCTTGTTTGGTTTTTTAACTTGTCCTTCACCTGGGTTCCTGTGTTGGTTTCCTGTTGTTGCTGGAGAAAATTATCACAAACATGGCGACAGGAGAGAACACACTGACCCCTTCCACTTCTGGAGACAGAAATCAGACCCTGTTCTTCCTGGGCTACAATCAAGGCATCTGCAGGGCTGCATTCCCTCTGGAGACTCGGGAGAATCAGTTCCATTGATTTCTCCAGCCCCTTCGTGGCTCGTGGTCTTCCTCCACCTTCAAAGCCCACAGTGGCTGGTGGAGTATCCCACGATGCTGCTCTAATCCCCATTCTCCTCTTCCTTCTCCACTCATATGGACCCTTGTGATTACACTGAGCCCAGTGGGAGAGTCCAGGCCATCTCCCCATCTCAAGGTCAACTCATCAACAACCTGAGCTCCATCTTCCCCTTCAGTCCCCTGCCCTATAACATAGTCACAGGCTCCAAGGATTACAATGTGGCCATCGATGGGGACAGTTATTCTTTCCAACACAGCACCCATTCCCCTGTATTCAATCCCCCTTTACCCCAAATATAGTTGGGGCCTGGATGATCGGACTCTGGTGGACACCCCCACCAGAAGCTCTGGGACTCAGGAGGTGGGACAAGGAGAAGCCCAGACAGGAGCCCTCTGACCTGTGACCATGATCACCAGGGGGTTGCTGGGTGCCGACCACTCAGTGGGGGAGTGCGGGTGAAAACCTCGACATCTGTAGGTCCCTGCGTGTGCTGGGGTCACAGGGCTAATGAGGAAACTGTTCCAGAATATTCTGTTGTAGAGCTCAGGGACAGGGACCCCATCTTTCTTGTACAGCGTGAAGATGTTAAACCCACGACGATAGTGACACCGAAGAGTCACGTGTCCTCCTTGAGGCACCACAGCGCTGGGCCAGGCAGAGCAGAAGGGCTTGTCCTGACCACCTTGGGGAGAAGGAGATGCCGCCTCAGAGAGGAGTATGTTGAGCTGCCCCTCCCTCCCTGTGCTCAGAAGATTCTCCCCATTTCTTCTTTCTAAGGCTCCTACCACACCTGGGTGCCTGGGGCTACAGGAAGGACCCATCCCGCATAGACGTGGCGTCTCCCTACAACAAAAGTGTCAGTTGAGAACTGAGCAGGTGCTGAGTAAGGGACTCTTACTAGATTTTAATACTGCAAGATTAGTTACACCAAACAACACAAAGTAGACATGGGGTGGAGGGTATGACCTTTGTGAATGGAATATTAGCTAATGCCTGAACCACAATAAACAACTGAGCTCCATCAGAGGATTTGGAATGGCAGGGTCGTGGCTGTGGTTCCCCCACCTCTTCTGGCAGAATGACAGCAGCCACACTGCAGCCCCTACCGTCATGGAAACGCTGGAGGGTGTGAGTTACCCTCTTGTCCTCAGAGGACCTGCTGTTCCTAACACTGCTACCCTTCCCTCCTCTGTCGGTGACACCACATCCCCCCACACACCCCAGCTTTGAGCACCTCAGTATCCCGCCTGGGCCACACAGAGCTCAACTCAGCCATGGGGAAGAAAGGCTGGGGAGGGCTAAGACAAAACAGAGGGCTGAGCATACCAGGATCTCCTCTTACTAGTTCATGAGAGACTCCCAGGATCTCCTCTTACTAGTTCATGAGAGACTCCCAGGATCTCCTCTTACTAGTTCATGAGAGACTCCCAGGATCTCCTCTTACTAGTTCATGAGAGACTCCCCCCAGGCCTTCCCATGGTCAGCCCATCAGCCCACCCTCTGTGCTGCCTCCCTCCCATTTCCGGAAAATTCACTTGTATTGGGGTGAAGATGGCAACCCATCATTTGGGGAAGGACTCACCCACGTGTGCCCACACACTCTGGTCCAAGAAGAACCCTGCAAAGAAAGATCATGATGAACTATTCATCTCGGCACCAACCTACCCTTTCCTCCTGAGCCACTGGGCGCCACGCTGGACTGAAAATTAACTCATCCTCACCACTCACTTGCTTCAGAACATGGCTCTCTGCTGGGGAGACACCCAATCTGCAGGCCCATAGTGTAACCCTGGTGCTCCTTCCCTTCCAGGACTCACCAAGACATGCCAGGATGATGACCGTGGGTGACATGGACATGGTGCAGCTTCTGCTGCCAGGACGCAGTGACTCGGCTCGACTGACCGGTGCAGAGGATGTGGTGAGGGGCCCGGATCGTGCAGTTGACACATTGACCACAACATGTGAAGGGGACATAGGTAGGCTTCTTCTACGTCATATGAGGTTCAAGTGGTGAGTCAGTCAAGGGAGGAATGAGGGTTTCTGAAAACTGCAGACTAGACTTGTCAGTTCACATCATGCGCAACGGCCAGGCTCAAAACACATCTCAGACTCACTTACCCCTGCACGGGACGATTGAATTCTGCACTCACATGAGGAACTTTTGATGTATTTTTTTTTGTTTCTACCTGAGATTCAAACTCTCCTTGATATGTAATATGCAAAATACCTAATAGGTTTTATTAACACTATAGAGCAATCGTATTAAATAAATCATCATAATTTTCCATGGTTGTATTTTTCCTGTTAAGCCAGAAACAGATAAAATGATTTAAATCCCAGTAGAAAAGACTATATAGTTATTTCGCATCATAGAATTCCACCTTATTAGCAAAAACACAATATGTCAATTGAAGGTCTGGTCGTGTTATCTAGAATTTGTCTTATGACACAAGAGTCCAAATTCACAGTTCCCTGTCTCCCTTTTTGTCTCTCTGTAACGTGTGCTTTTTTTCTCCCTGTGTTGTTTGTGTGTCTTTCTTTCTCTCTCTCATTTGAGGAAAAAATATCAGACTGATAACATCCTCCAACTTGATACTGGAATATTGCAATAACTGAAGGTTGAAATCTACACATTTAATGTGCTGTCATTCTTACAAATGTCTCTTATTTACACCTACCTTTCTGGAGTTTGTAAGAACTTTTTCACTATGCATTTTAAATTTGTAAAACTCATAATTTTTAAAAAGGGATGGGTCTCACTGTTTGCCCAGGGTGGCCTTTACTCATTCTATAAGGCTGGCATCACCCTGATACTAAAGACAGAAAAGAATATTAAACAAAAGAAAACTACATGCCAATATTCCTGATGAGCATAGATGCAAAAATCCACAAAAAATACTAAGAACTGAATCCCGCAGCATATCAAAAAGTGAATCCACCATGATCAAGTCAACTTTATTCTTAGGGTGCAAGGTTGGTTGAACATACACAATCAATACATGTGATTCATCACCTAAACAAAACTAAAAACAAAAACCACATGATCTTCTCAACACACATGTAGAACATACTTTTTACTAAGCATTTCTTCATGTTAAAAGCCCTCAACAAGCTAAGCATTGAAGAAACATAACTCAATATAATAAGAGCCGCCTATGACAAACCCACAACCAACATCATACTGAATGAGTAAAAGCTGGAAGAAGTTCCCTTCATAAGTGAAACAAGACAAGAATGCCCACTCTCACCATCCTATTCAACATAGTACTTGAAGTCCTAGACAGAGCCATCAGGAAAGAGAAAGAATTATAAGGCATCCAAGTAAGAAGAGAGTAGCAGAGAGAGGTAGTCAAATTACCTCTGTTTGAAGATGAGATAATTTCTATACCTAGAAACCCCATAGTCTCTGCCCAAAGGCTCCTACATCTGAGAAACAAACTTCAGCACAGTTTAAGGGCAGAAAGTCAATGTACAGGCTGGGTGTGGTGTCTCAGCCTGAAATCTAGCACTTTGGGAGGGCGAAGCGGGTGGATCACCTGAGGTCTGGAGTTCGAGACCAGCCTGGCCAACATGGCGAAACCCTGTCTCTACTAGAAACACAAATATAGCCGGACGGGGTGGTACGCAACTGTAGTCCCAGCTGCTTGGGAGGCTGAGTCAGGAGAACCGCTTGAACCTGGGAGGCAGAGGTTGCAGTGAGCGGAGATCACGCCATTGCACCTCAGCTTGGGCAACAACAGTGAAACTGCGTCTCAAAAAAAAAGCCAAAACAAATTTAATTAATGAGGAAAAGGGTATTTGTGGTGTCCATCATGATGTTTTCATATAGGTACACATTGTGGAATGGATGAAACAACCTCTTTATCTATTTATTTTTTCACATACTTGTATGTTTTGTGTGTGTGGTGAGAACATGTAAAATCTAATCTCTTAGTAATGTTCAATACACCATATGTTGCTATTAAATGGAGTCACCAAGACATACAATAGATCTCTTGAACCGATTTCTTCTAACTGAAATTTTGCATCCTTTGACCAACATCTCTTCAATCTCTCTCCTTCCCAGGTTCTTTCGACGACCATTTTACTGTTCCTCTAGGTTCCACTTCTTACACTCCACACATGAGATCATGTGGCATTTGTCTTTCTGTGCCTGGATTGTTTCCCTTAACATAATGTCCTCTAAGTTTTTTCACATTGTCACAAATGAGAGGACTTCCTTCTTTGTTGTAAAGGTTGTATAGTACTTCATTACGTTCCTATCGTATACCACGTTTTCTTTGTCCATGCACCCATAGATGGGCAGTAAGGGTGATTCCACATCTTGGCTGTTATGAATAATGCGGCTGTAAACATGGGAATGCAGATATCTCTTCAACATACTGATTCCACTTCCTTTGGATACATGCGCAGTAGTTGGATTGCAGACACATATGGGAATTCTATGTTTAATTTTTTCAGGAACTTCCAGACTGTTTTCCATAATGGTTGTGCTAATTTACATTCCCATCAACTGCATACAAATGTTCCCTTTTCTCCACATCCTCGTTAACCCTTGTTATTTTTTATGTTTTTGATAATGGTCTTTTTTTTTTTTTTTTTGAGACTCAGTCTTGCTCTGTCACCCAGGCTGGAGTGCAGTGGCACAATCTCGGTGTACTGCAACCTCTGCCTCCTGGGTTCAAGCGATTCCCCTGCCTCAGTCTCCAGAGTAGCTGGGACTACAAGTGTGCGCCACCAAACTCTGCTAATTTTTGTATTTTTAGTAGGGATGGGATTTCACCATATTGGCCAGGCTGGTTTCGAACTGCTGACCTCAGGTAATCTCCCTGCCTCGGCCTCCCAAAGTGCCTGAATTACAGGCATGAGCCACCATGCCCAGACTGTTAATGGTCATTCTAAGAGGTGTGAGGTGATATCTCATTCTAGTTTTAATTTTTATTTAGCTGATGTTTAGTAATGCTAATCATTTTTTCATATACCTTTTGGTGATTTGTCTTATTCTTAGAAATGTTTATTCAGATACTTTGCCCATTTTTTTAAGTTGGGTTATTTGATTTCTTACCATTGAGTTGTTTGAGTTTCTTATATATTTTGGATATTAATTCCTTATTAGATGTATGGGTGCAAATATATTCTCCCATTCCATAGGTTGTCTTTCCACTTGTTGAGTTTTTTTTTTTCTTTGCAGAAACTTTCAATTTGATATAATGTTATTTGTCTACTTTTGCTTTTGTTGCCTGGGCCTTTGGGTTAATATCCAAAATGGTTTTGCCCAAGCCAGTGGAGTTTTCCCTTGATTTCTTTTAGTAGTTTTTTTTTTTTTTAAGATGGAGTCTCACTCTGTTGCCCCGGCTGGAGTGCAGTGATGCGATCTCGGCTCACTGCAACCTCTACCTCCTGGGTTCAAGTGATTCTCCTGTCTCAACCTCCCGAGTAGCTGAGATTACAGGCACCCACAACCACACCCAGCTGTTTTTGTATTTTTAGTAGAGGCGGGATTTCACCATGTTGGCCATGCTGGTCTTGGAATCCTGACCTTAGGTGATCTGCCCGCCTTGGCCTCCCAAATTGCTGGGATGATAGTCTTTCATCTTACATTTAAGTCATTAATCTATCTTGAGTTGACTTTGTATGTTTTGTGAGGCAAATGTCCACTTCCATTCTTCTGCATGTCTCCCAATCCCATTTATTAAAGAGACTGTTCCTTCTCCATTGTGTGTTCTTGATACATCCCAAAAATTGTTTGACCCTAAATGCGTGCATTTTTTTTCCTGGGCTATGAATCACTTCCATTGGTCTATGTGTCTGTTTTTATGCAAGTACTGTGTTGTTTTAATTACTGTAACTTTGTAATGTAGTTTGTGTTTAGGTAATGTGATGCTTCCAACTTTGTTCCTTTCCCTCTAGATGGCTTTGGTTATTTGAGATCTTTTGTGGTTCCACATGAATTTTAGGACTGTTTTTTCTATTTCTGTAAAAAAAAATGTCATTGGATTTTTGATAATGGTTGCATTGAATCACTTTGGATAGAATGGACATTTTAACAACATTAATCCTTCTGATCCGTGAACATGGAATATCTTTCGATTTATTTGTTTATTTCTTGAGTTTTTTCATCAATGTTTTATAGCTTTTGCATACAGATCTTTCTACTCCTTGGGTGAATTTATTCCTGCATGTTTTGTTTTCTGTAGTTATTGCAAATGGGCTTATTTTCTTGTAAACTTTTTTGGATAGTTTGTTGTTAATGTATAGAAACTTTGTTGTTGTTGTTGTTGTTGTTGTTTTGATGATACCCATCCTAAGGGGTATGAAATGGCATCTGGTGTAGTTTTAGTTAGTATTTCCCTAATGATTCGTGATGCTGAATATCTTGTCATGCGTATGTTCTTTGGAGAAATGTCTGTTTCAGTACTTTGCCCATTTTTGAATTGAGTTTATTGTGATTGAGTTTTAGGAGTTGTCTGTATATTCTGGATGTTAATCCCTTACAGGTGGTGTGGTTTGAAAACATTTTCTCCCATTCTGTGGGTTGTCTTTTTACTTTGATAATATCGTCTTAAAAGTTCTTTTTCCTTGCCATGTGAAGTAACTGATGTTGTCTTTTGAGTCACAATATTTCAAAATTTTCATAAAGTCTAACTTGTTTATTTTTTCTGTAGTAGCCTGTGCCGTTGTTGTCACATCTAAAGAATCACTGCCAAATCCGATGTTGTGAAGTTTTCCTTTGTGTTTTCTTCTAAGACTTTAATTAAATTTTATTTGTCAATATTTAGGACTGACAAAAGCTTTTTAACATTCCTGGCACCATCTCAGTTATTGATCTACTCCCAAGATGGATCATTTCAATTAAAACATGTAAAGCATGACCTCACCTGAATGTGTTTGAACTTGCTCTTCTCCCTTTCAAATCGACTCCCTCACTTACATAGTTTGTGTTCAAATGTCAACAAATAAAACATAAAAAGAAATCAATCTTTTCATAGACCCTTTATCTAAAATAGAATAGTAGGTGCCATGACATTTCATCCTTTCATCTTGAATTATTTACTTTTCTACATGAACCAATCCATTCTTCTGTGTGCATGTGTGTGTGTGTGTGTGTGTAGTTTATCTGTCTACATATAATGTAAACACCAAAAAATAACAGACATTTAGTAATTTTCAAATGAGACTTCAGGAATTAACAATGGCTTGCCATTTTTAGTGTGTTATTATTATTATATTTAGATGAACAGAATTGCCTCAGGAACATGGCCAGGGGCTCATAGTCCAGGAGAACTGTGGCCTGACTCAGGTACATTTTACCTGCAATAACAGCAATTGCAGGTCACTGGAGTCCATCACAATTGGCTGGAGACAAATGTAAGACAAGAATATTTGCAGTTTCCCCAGACTGACACAGTTGCAGGTTCCCCGAAGTAATGAGTCCTGAGACACCTCCAACAAGAGCTAGAAAAGGTATCACTTCAAGAGGAGTTGCAGCCTACTCATTTTAGACAAATGGAGCAAAATTACAGTATCACATCTTTTCCTTTCTCCTTCATAGAATCTGGATGAACAGAACAGAAAGAGTTAATGGAATATAAGATTCCAATTCTCTGGCATGAGAAAATAGACAAGGAAAGGAAGATTCATCTTCATCACATCTCAGACATGCTTGGACACAGGGTCCAAGCACAAAAGAGAAACACATACTTCTTCCCATCCACACTGGGATCCAGGGTCTTCTCCCTCCTGTCAGGCCAGAACTGAGTCTCCACTCCCCAATTTAGTTCCCAGAGATGAAGCCCAATTTTCCTCTGTCTCAAGCTTTGAAGGCCAGCTTTAGCGTGTTCACCATGGATGAATGAAGGTGAGGTCAGAGGTTTGGGAAATGGTCAAGAATGAGGTGAGAAGAGAGCTGTGGAGGCATGGCCCCGGGGAGCTTGGTACCCCCCCATATCCAGAGCCTGTCTGGTCCAGGAGAGTTCCCAACCCTGTGAGCACCAACTCCGGATATTCTGGGCAGTGACCCGAGGGACAGCCTCTTATGAATACAGGCTGTTTTCCTCCAGTGTCTGCTGTGAAACCAGGATGTACAACATGGCCGTGTTCAACCCAACAATGGACTTAGGATTTTGCTGTACGCCAAAACTCAGTGTCCAACTTCCACTCTGTTTAGCTGGAAAAAGAAGGGGTTTGTTCCCATACATCTCACTCCTGTGTTCCTCTTTCAGTCTCAAAGCTCAGATGAAAACAATGAGTGTCACTTATTGTCAATCCTCTTCCCTGCCTTTTCCACACTCATCAGTATTACCGTTTACATTGAGACTAAAGATGGCCAATCACCACTTTTCTTCGGAAAAATCAACCTGATGTTGTACCTACTTTTTTAGAGGTGGAATCAACCTACCCTAAGATGCCAACTACATTTTACTGAATGGACTTTTGTGGATCCCCTCGATGTATATAGTGGCACCTTGAGGTATCATCCCTGTCTTTAGCAAATGAATATTATCCCAAGGACAATATTTCATCACAATTATTCGGGATGGACGAGTGGATATTGTGGTAGCAAGAACATTACTAAAAGTCACAGCTGATACAACACACTTGAAACCCATCTGGCCAATCTCCCACAGACAGAATGTCGCGCCATTCACTCCAGCCAGCTTCAGTCATGTTTCTTCCATTTCCACCTGTGGCCCCTCATGTCTCCACCAGGTCTTAGCCAGCATTGCCAAAAGAGCCAGGAAGACCAGACCAGCCACAACAATCCTGATGGAACTCTCCACAGTATAGTTCTGGAGAACAGGGGCTGGAGGGTGGGGGTAAGATCAGAGACCTTTCCATGTGGGCCAGGCCCCTCTCTCCCCAGAAGCTCTGAAATGGAGCTATTTCCCCATCTCACCTTCATAAAATTCTTCCTGTCCAGAACCCCTCTTCTCCCTATATCATCATGAGCACCTTCAGAAGTCTTTTGCCACAAAAAGAAATTTCTTTTGAAGATATACATTTTTTTGTACATTTCAAAAATGTTCCCAAACTAATTCTCCAAAGCAATAAATGTTTGTGTGTATTGCTGGGTAGGTTATGCATACAAGGAAAGGAAGCATAGTGAGTCTGATTTGGCAGAGGAAACATATGTGGAAATTATATCATTTACTCTCTTTACAAAATTAAGTACAAAATTGAAAACACTGGTAAGAAAGAATGAGCTATAGAGAAAGAAAACATCTGAGATGCTTGTTTCCAAGATGGCTGACTAAATGCTTTTCTGGCATGTCTCATCCACTTAGAAGAACGAGCAGAATCCAGAACAAAAACCATATGATCATCTCAATAGACATAAAGAAAAGCATCTGAAAAGAAATTCAACATCCTTACCTGATGAAAACCCTCAAAAACTTAGGCATAGAAAGAACATACCTCAAAATAATAAAAGCCATAGATGACATATCTAGAGTCAACATCATACTGAACAGGAAAAGTTAAAAGCACTCCTCTGAGAACTGGCACAAGACAAGGACACGGACATCCACCACTTCCTATCAACATAGTACTGGAAGCCTTGTCAGAGCTATTGGGCAACAGGAAGAATTAAAAATCCAAATTAGAAAAGAGGAAGTAAAATTATTTTTATTTCTGATGCTATGATCTTAAATCTAGAAAATCCTAAAGACCCTGCCAAAAATTCTTATGATTGATAAATGAACTAAGTAAAGTTTCAGAATACAAAATCAATATGTAAAAGCCGGTAGCATTTCTCTACACCTATAATGATCTAGCTGAGAACCAAATCAAGAAGGCAATGCCGTTTACAATAGATACGCAAAATTAAAACACTCAGGAATACATTTAACCAAGGTGGTGAAAGAGCTGTACCAGGAAAGGTGTAAGACACCAATGAAAGCAATTATAGATAATACAAAAAAAAAAAAAAGAAAAAAAATCCCACGCTCATGGATCATAAGAATTAATATTGTTAAAATGACCATACTGCCTAAAGCAATCTACAGATTCAGTGCAATTCTTATATGAAAATAGTAACACCAGCTTTCACAGAATTAGAAAAAGCAATCCTAAAATTCATACAGAACCAAAAAAGATCCTAATAGAGAAAGCAATTCTAGGTGAATGTAGAAACCTGGAGGCATCACGCTATCTGACTTCAAACTATGCTCTAAGGCTATAGTAACTTAAATAGCACAGTGCTGGTATAGACACAGAAACAGAGATCAATAGACCAGAATAGAGAGCCCAGAAATACAGCCTCATATCTACAGTGAATAATCATTGACGACGTTAACAAAACATACACTGGAGAAAGATTTCCTTTTCAATAAAAGGTGCTGGGAAAACTAAATAGCCATATGCAGAAGAATAAAACTGGACCTGTATCTGTAATCATACACATAAATTAACTTAAGGTAATTAGCAGCTTAAATGTAAATCCAGAACTATAAAATCACCGGTGGAAACCCAAAGAGAAACTCTTCTGGGCATTGGTCTGGGCAAAGAATTCATCACTAAGACCTCAAAAGCACAGGCAATAAAAATAAAACTAGACCAATGGGACTTAATAAACGAAAGAGCTTCTGCCAAGCAAAGGAAATAGTAGCAGGGTGAACAGACAACCCACAGAATGAATGGAAATGTTTGCAAACTATGCACCCAACAGAGGACTAACATCCAGAATTTCTAGGCAACTCAAACAACTAAACATAACCCCTCAAATAATAGCATTAAAAAGTGGGCAAAGGGATATACATAGACATTTTTCAAAAGAAGACATACGAATGGCCAAACAGCGTATGAACATCACTAATCATCAGAGAAATGCAAATTGAAACCACAATGAGATATCATCTTACAGTAGTCAGAATGGCTATTACTAAAAATGCTGGTGGGGAGTGGTGGCTCACGCTTGTAATCCCAGCACTTTGGGAAGCTGAGGCGGGTGGATCATGAGGTCAGGAGTTTGAGACCAGCCTGACCAACATAGTGAAACCCCATCTCTACTAAATATACAAAAGATTAGCTGGGCATGGTGGTGTGGTTCTGTAATCCCAGCTACTCAGGAGGCTGAGGCAGGAGAATCATTTGAACCTGGTTGGTGGAGGTTGCAGCGCGTGGAGATGGCGGCACTGCACTCCAGCCTGGGTGACAGTGGAAGACTCCATCTCAAAAAGAAAAAAAGAAAAAGTGAAACATATAACAGGTGTTGGCAAGGATGCAGAGAAAAGGAAACTCTTATACACTGTTGGCCGGTATGTAAATTAGTATAGCCTCTATGGAAGACAGTATGGAAATTTGGCAGAGAACCAAAAATAGAAGCACCATTCGATCTAGGGGTCCCGCTGCTGGGTATCTACTCAAAAAATACCTGCACCTGTATGTTTATTGCAGCACTGTTTGCAATAGCAAAGATATGAAATCAATCTAAGTGTCTGTGAATGAATGATTGGATTAAAAAAAGGATGCGTGTATACACAACGAAATACTATTTGGTCATAAAAATAAAACCATGTCTTTTGCAGCAACATAGATGGAGCTGGACGCCATTATTTTACATAAAACCACTCAGAAAGACAAATACCACATCTTCTCACTCTACATGGGAGGGGAGTAATGTGTACATATGGACGTAGAGTGTGGAATGACGGACAGCGGAGGCTAGAAGGCTGGAGGGTGGCGGGACGTGGGTGAGTGATGAGAATTTGCTTAATGAGTACAATGTACGGTATTTGGGTGATGGATATAGTAAAAGTCCTGACTTCACTACTCTGCAACATACTCATGTCACAAAATTACAAGTGTACCTCATAAATTTATACTAATAGAAAAGAAAGTCTGTACACAGTAATCAATTGTGATATGTAGATAAAGTCAATATTAAATTTAAACCAGAATAACTAGTTAAAATGTTGTGTACACAACAGTGAAGAGAGTATTTATCCTCTATGACAGAGGAAACCATCAATATTAATGCACAGAAAAAGCAAATAACTGAAACAAGAAAGAGCAGTTTTGTGACAGGGTAAAAATTGACAACAGTTTTAGAATGCTCCTAACTTGAGTTCCAAAAAGAAAGAACGAGAAAACAGGTCAGAAGCAATCTTTAAAGAGGCAATTGTTGATTATTTGGAGGAAGTAGACACATCCATCAATCCACAGGTTCAAGAAATCCAGTGAATGCCAGGCAGAATGAAGTAAACACACCTCACGTTCAACATTACAGAAAAGCAGCATAAAAGCACAACCAACCCTTAAAATTAGCCAGAGGAAAAGGATCAGCTGGTAAGGATTTATAGGGAGCCAAGCATTGTCTTCCCCACAGAAAAAAGGAAAACATAAGCCAGTAGAATAGCATCTTTACCCAGCTAAGATACCGTCGCCAGCCACCGACAATTCCTTACATAGTACAGTTACTGTCCAAGATCAACGCAGGAAAGAAACAGAACTGAAAGACAAAAGGGCAAAGAAAGCTTTTCTCACTGACCCTAAAGGAAATTCTGATGACCGTGCCTCAAAGATAAAGAAAGTGAAACCAGATGGGGTGTCGAAGATTCTGACAATAACTAAGAGCAGAGGAAGAACTAAAAATATGGCTATGCCAAAAATGAATATGGACCATACGATAGTGTATGAAAACACGCCCCTGTGTAATTTCTGAAAAAGATAGAATTATGTATACCACAAAACAAAACATCATATAAGTAAATACAAACATATGTACTAAATATGCTCTAAAATCCTGTTCTTACACAGGAAGAGTGGAAATATGTTTTTATATTTGCAGTTTAATCTCTGAAATGATTAATTTCAATTTTAAAAATATGTAACAACTTCAGGATGAGTACACCATATATGTATTCCTAAACGACATAGATCAAAAATAGAATGTTTGAAATAGAAAACCACAGAAGTCAGTGGGAAAAAAAGGGAATCAGGAAAACACAACGTAATAATAACAAAAATATGATTGGAAGAACTGCTCAAACATGAACAAAAGATTGTCAGAAAGTCTTACTTTCTAAGGCGAATTGTTTGAAATTTACAAAGGACACATCTCAATGTTAACAATTCATGGAGTTTGAAATTAAACAATGTAGAAATATACCAAGCAATCACTGTTAGAAATGTGGTATAACTATATTAAAATTAGACAAAATTAGTCTTTGGGAAAAATCAGCGGAAAACATTAAGCATAAAATGTAGGAAAAAAGCAGGTAAATTTATAGCATTTTAAATTTACCAGGAATATATAATCAGTTTACACTTAACCACTCCCAGTAATATTCCTGCAAATATACATGGAGGAAGAGTCGCGGAAATAAATGGACAGGTAGGCAAATCCACGGCCACAGTGGGGTGTTTAACACTCCTCTTTTCTCAGTTGTTGATAGAAGTGGTTCAGGCAATTAGAGAGGATTTAGAAAGATAATTGCTGGACCTGACCCAAGGTATAAGTCCACTCCCAACCACAGGACTCACTTTCCTTACAAGCACAAGGGCATTTAGAAATCTCTCTGGATTCTGACCAGCCCTCACCATATGGCAGGTCCATGGACTTCTTGGAACACACCAAGCTCATTCTCACATTAGGGTCATCCCCAATGTCCTAAGTCCATGAAAGTTCCTTTCAACACACTCCCCAGGGCTCACTCCCTCTTGTCTCTAAGATCGGAGTTTAAATGTGATCTCTCTGATGAGGTCTCAGTGAGACGTTCCCTCCTGTACACTCCAAATGACAACGTTCCACGTTCATTCATTTCATTCTGTGCATGGCACTTTCACCAAGTGCTAAGGATTCACTCACTAATTCATACATTCATTCATTCATTCATTCACTCATTCCATCATTCACTCATTCATTCATTCTCTCATTCATTCATTCATGTTCTGCCTCTCTCTCCCACCCCACAGCAATGTGAGCATCATGAACCCAGGAGCTTGGCCGTGCTGTCTACTCCTGGCCATGAAACAGAGAGAACTGATGGTAGGTGTGAAATAAATATTAGATGAATGAGTTAGTGAAGGGGTCATTTACTGGGTGAGCTCAGTTCTCTCTACTCTAATGCCCTCCCTCGGCTGACTTCCCTGAGTTGCCCCCTCGGCTGAGTGAAGTCCCTTCACTGGCAAATGGAACCTCAACCAGTAGCACCTAGGTGGTCTCATACTTTGTTCTTTCCCTCTCCTCTTGCTCCCTAAGGATTATCAATCTCCATGACAGGGCTGGAGAGCAGACAAGCCACACATTCTTTCTGGGGAGAGAGTAACATGGAGTACAAGGCATTCCACATTTAGGAAGAGAACTCAGTTATGGAAGGTCAGAAATGAAAAGTTCCTACAGACCAACACCCAGGTTGGTGGCCACAGCCCTAAATGCTGATGGAGAATCACTGCAAGTCTGTAGGGAAGATGTCTGGCTTGAGGCCACTGAGCGAAGTGGCAGATCCTTCTCAGCCTTCAGTGCTGAGCCTCTGTCCCCTCAGGGATCCACTGACCAATGAGAAGAGCCTCTTCTCATCTCCTGGGATGGAGCTTGGGGCCCCTGGCGAAGGAATGGGCCTGTTTCCACCTGTCATGTTGTCATCTAGCTTGGAAATCCTGCGAGTCCCAGGGAGGCCCTCCCCGAGTCCCCAGAGAAGACTCCCCCACTGAGTCTCCAAGGTGTGGAGAGAGCAAAAAACATCTAGGGTGGAAAATGCCTCCCATCAAGAGACATTGGGGCTCCCCCAACGATGGTTGCATCTGTGCCCCCCATGTGGAAATCACTCTTTGGTGAGAGGTGGGGGCTTCTGGAAATGGGCAATGGCGGGCGGCCAATGCTACCTCTAGTCTTTCCAATCTGAGCCCGGCCTTTCATGCTCCTGAGTCAGCATTGATGCTGTTTACATGTGTCCCAGGTGGGCTTCTGTACAAAGACTGGGAAGTGGTTTATGTGGCCTGTGCTCTATCTGCAAGCTTCAGGTAGGGTTGCAGTTACCACCCCAAACCCTAATGTGATCTGTCTGCCTCGCTCTGTCTGTCTGTCTATGCCTCTTTCTGTATGTTTGCTTTGTGTCTCTTCTGTCCAGCGTCTCTGGCTGACACCCCCATGGCCACCCCCTCCATCTGAGGCTCCCCTGAATGTGGCCATTGTAGTCCATCTGAGTCCCACTATTTGGGGAACAGACTGGTTTCCTCACCTGTGACAGAAACAAGCAGTGGGTCACTAAGGTCTGACCACTCGTAGGGAGAGTCACGGAAAGAGCCGAAGCATCTGTAGGTCCCTCCGTGGGTGGCAGGGCCCAGAGGAAAGTTGGCCTGGAAGGTTCCATTGACCTTGGGCACTGCAGGGAACCTAAGTTCATGAGCCTCCCCCTCCCTTGATAGATGGTAGATGTCATAGGAGCTCCGGGAGCTGCAGGACAAGGTCACGCTCTCTCCTGCCTTAACCATGGGGCGCGGCTGGGCTGAGAGAGAAGGTTTCCCACATAGACCTGGAAGGAGAAGAGGCAGTTTCCTCAGGGAGGTTCTTCCTTGTCACAACTCCCCTCCCACCTGAGCTGAGAACTCACTCCCCTGCTCTATGGCCTAATGCTCTCTCTCTCTGTCTCACCCTCCACACCATCTCTCTTTATGTCTATTTCCTCTTTCCACCTTCTCTGTCTCTCTAGGTCTCTGACCTCACTTTCTCACCTCTAGATATGTTTTCCCTTTTTGGATTGTTTTATTCTCTCTGACTCTCCTTGGACTAGTTGACTTGATGTTACTTTTTTTAAATTCTGAGTTTCTCACTTTGTGTCCTGTTCATAACTTTCTGCATATTTCTATCTATTATCTATCGATATATCTATTTATCTATTTGGTGCCTATCTACAAATTCTCTACCTGTCATCTATATCTATATATAATCTATTTATCTATCAATTGTCTATCCAAAAATCATCTATTATCTATATCTATGTATCGTCTCTCTCTCTCTATGATTTCTCTTTGTCTGCCTCTCTATCTCTATGTATTATCTATCTATCTTCATCTTCATCATCTCTATGTATCATCGATTAATCAATGAATGAATCAATCATCATCTATGTATCTATAACCTATTATCTATCATCTACCTATTTATCATCTATCTATATCTATCCATCTATCATCTGTCTTGCTCTGCCTCTCGGTCTCTCTAGTTCTCTTTGGAATCTCTGCAATTCATCCCCACATCTCCATCTTTCTATGTCCTTGTGTCTCTCCCTCAGGACTCTAATTTTAGTGCTTTTCTCTGTTCCCTTCCATTGTTCTCTCCACTTCTCTGCCCTCTTTTCTCCCTCTTTATGTGTCTGTGAGTCTCTCAATCTCCTTCCTCTGGCTCATTCTCTGTGTGTTTATGTCTTTGCTTTTTGGTGTCCCTGATTTCTCTCTGTGTCTCTCAGTGATCCTCTCATATGTGGGGTTATTTGGAATGTGAGCCTCAGAATCCAGTCTGGGGACCGCAAGTTCACACAGTATACAGGGGTTGATGTTCTGGGGCCATGATATCCTGGGACGATTACTCTCCATTGCATGGAAGGCAGAGGTGTCAGAATAAACACGGCATCTGTAGGTGCCAGAAGGCCTGAGGCCACAGGGCCCAACTCAGGCCAGAAATATGGGTGTCCTTGGGTTCTTCTGGTAGAGAACACTTTGTGGAAGTAAAACAGAAATGAAACTTCTAACCTGTGCCAGGTCTCTGAGCAAAGTCAGCATGGAAGGACACCTCTCTCTGGCACATGTCTGTCTGTGTCTCCTTTAACTCTTTCTGTCTTTTCTAACTCCCTGTATGGCCCCTGTGTCTGTCCTCTGTTATGACACCTGGTCTGTACTTGTGTCTCCTGTTTCTCTGTCTCTGTTGGTACAGACCTCACCAAGTTAGTCTCTCTCCATAAGAATACCAAGCTCATCTTCCTTATAACCACCTGGGCCTCCAAGTCGTGGATCATTCACTCTGTGTCCCAGTGACAATGAGAATAATGTCCAGACACTCTCACCTGTAATCACGATGTCCAGAGGGTCACTGGGAGCTGACAACTGATAGGGGGAATGAGGAACAGAACCGTAGCATCTGTAGGTCCCTGCAAGGTCTTGCGTCATGCGACCGATGGAGAAGTTGGCCTTGGAGAGCCCATCATGGAGCTCTCCAGTGAGGCGCAAAGTGTCATTAAACTTCCCCTCTCTGTGCAGAAGGAAGTGCTCAAACATGACATCTGACCAACATTGCAGGATGACTGTCTCTTCTGATTTCACCAGGGGACCTGGGTGGGCCAGGAGGGAAGGTTTTCTGTGGACTCCTAGGAAGAGAGGTTGTGACTTTAGAAGGCATCTCTCTTTATCATCCCATCCATGGCACCTAGAATGAGTGAGGCTTCCCCTCGCTGGTGTCTTATCTCTCTCCTTCCTCTCTGTGTCTTCATGTTCTTTTCTGTGCCCATAACTCCTGGTACAGGTCCTTCCATCTGTCTCCCTCCCTCTTCTCTGTCCCTCTGTCTCTAGTAGCTCCTGATTCCCTTGCCGCTGGGCTCAGCCTCATCTCTTGGGCTGTTGTATCTATTTCGAACTAATGTCTTTCCTGCTTCTATGTGGGGGTGGAAGAGGAACCAGGATAGGCTGCACGTCCAGGCTCTTAGCAGACTGGTTCAATCTCTTTTGGACGAATTGGAATCCTTGGCAGAAGGTATGAACTGATCAGTAAGGCAGGCACCAGTGTCCACACACCCTGTTCCTGGTGGGGACTGGGAGCCACTCTTGCCATGCCTGTGCCTTCTCCATGGTGCCAGCTTCCATAGGCTGGCTTCTGGTGCTGGTTTGAGGAGTATCAACCCCTCCCTATGTGGATGGAGCCTGGTGGTGGCATCATCATCCCACCCTTGCTGATCTCGGTGTAGCCAACCTTCTCTTTGTTTGGTTTCTTTAATTAATTAATTAATTTTGGAGTCAGAGTCTCACTCCTTCACCCAGGCTGGAGTGAAGTGGTGTGGTCTAGGCTCACTGCAACCTCTGTCTCCTGGGTTCAAGTGATTCTCCTGCCCTCAGCCTCCTGAGTTGCTAGGATTACATGCACCTGCCACCACGCCCGGCTATCCTTGTGTCCTTTCTTATCTTGTCCTTGACCTGGGTTCCAGTGTTGGTTTCCTGTTGGTGCTGTGGAAAATTATCAGAAGCATGGCAGCAGGAGAGAGCACACTGACCCCTTCCGTTTCTGGAGACAGAAATCGGACCCTGTTTTTTGAGGGCTAAAATCAAGGCATCTGCAGGGCTGCGTTCCCTCTGGAGACCCAGGAGAATCAGTTCCTTGACTTTTCCAGCCTCTATAGGCCACCTGCATTCATGGCTCATGGCCTTCCTCCACCTTCAAAGCTGATGGAGACTTCCATTGCACTGCTCTAATCGCCACTCCCCTCTTCCTTCTCCTCTCATGTGCACCCTTGTGATTACACTGAGCCCAGCAGGACAGTCCAGGCTGTCTCCCCATCTCAAGGTCAACTCAACAACCTGAGCTCCATCTTCCCCTTCAGTGCCTTCCCCTATAACATAAATAGTCACAGACTGCAGGGATTAGAATGCAGTCATCATTGGGGACAATTATTCTTTCCACCACAGCACCCATTTCCCTGTATTCAATCCCCTTTTACCCCAAATACAGTTAGGGTCTGGATGATGGGACGCTGGTGGACACTCCCACCAGAAGCTCTGGGACTCAGGAGGTGGGACAAGGAGAATCCCAGACAGGAGCCCTCTGACCTGTGACCATGATCACCAGGGGGTTGCTGGGTGCTGACCACCCAGTGAGGAAGTGTGGGTGTGAACCCCGACATCTGTAGGTCCCTGCATGTGCTGGGGTCACAGGGCCTATGAAAACGGTGTTTCGGAATACTCTGTTGTAGAGCTCAGGGACAGGCATCCCGTCTTCTTTGGACAGACTGAATTCGTTAAACCCAAGACGAGAGCGACACTGAAGAGCCACATGTTCTCCTTCAGACACCACAGGGCTGGGCCAGGCAGAGAGGAAGGGCTTGTCCTGACCACCTGGGGGAGAAGGAGGCGCCACCTTAGAGAGGAGGATGTGGCACTCCCTCCCTCTATTCCTTTCCAGGACTCACCAACACACGCCATGCTGACGACCATGAGCGACATGGTGCTGCCGGTGCAGACAGGCGGCCGCGCCCCAGCTCAGCTCAGCAGCGCACAGGATGTTATTTGGCGCCCTGCCCATGCAGCTTACATGTTGACTACATCATGGGAGGGTGACGTACGCAGGCTCTTTCTACCTTGCATGAGGCCCAGTGGATGCTTGCTCAAGAGCGGAACACGGCTTCCTGGAAATTGTTCTCACTAGAATTGGCACCTCACGTCCTTCACTATGACCAACTCACAACACGTCTCAGATCCAACCTCCCGAACACAAGATGCCTAAAATCTGTGCTAACGTGAAAGACTTTTCATGTATTTTTATCCGAACACGAGATGCCTAAAATCTGTGCTAACATGAAAGACTTTTCATGTATTTTTTTTGTTTTTATCTGAGATTCAAACTCTTCTTCCTGTGTAATATGCAAAGTATCTAATAGGTATTATTAATGTTTTCGGAGTCATTGTGACTAATAAACCATTAGAATTTTTCATGCTTGTATTTCTAGTATTACAGCAGAACCAGCTAAAATGATTTAAATTCCCAGGGAAGGATTATGCAATTATTTACAATCTTAGAATTGTACTTTATCAGCAAAAACCACACCTGTAAATTCTGGAGTTTTGTAGTTTAATCTAAAATTTGTCTCATGACCCAAGATTCCAGAGTCCCAACTCTGGAGTTTGCTCTCTGTCTGTCTCTCTCCCTCCCTCGTTTTAAATTTTACAGAAATATCCAGTAACATAATGCTATAGAAAATCAAGTTTTCCCCAGCACGTTGGGAAGCCGAGGTGGGCGGATCAACTGAGATAAGGAGTTTGAGAGCAGCCTGGCCAATATAGTGAAACCGTGTCTCTGTTAAAAATCCAAAAATTAGCCGTGCCTGGTGGCAGGCACCTGTAACGCCAGCTACTCAAGAGGCTGAGGCACGAGAATCGCTTGAACCTGGGAGGCGGAGGTTGCAGTGAGCTGAGATTGTGCCACTGCAGTCCAGCCTGGGCGACAGAGCAAGACTCCGCCTCAAGAAAAAAAAAGCAAACAGCCTATAATAACAAATTAGAGGGCTCTGGCTACTAAATTTAAAGGGTTCTATAAGGCTACATAAAGTGCAGCATCATCAAGAGTGTGGACACAGAGAGCCCCTTAGCAGAAACAGTGTCTAAAATACATCCATGTACACACAGTCCCTTTAGAGTTGACAAAGGCTGCCGTGTGGTTTAAGGTGGCATAGAATGTCTTCTCAATAAATAATATTAAACCAATTGGTTACACCTAGGAAAAAATAAATCTAACTCACACTATAAAAACACTTCTTAGTTTTTATCTAGTTGTACATTTTTTATGATTTATATTTAAATTTGAGAAATAAAAGTCATATACGGTCATCCTTCACTATTCGTGGGTGATTGGTTTTGAGATCTCCACTCAGATACCAAAATCTGTAGATGCTCAAGCCTCTTATATGAAATGGCACAGCGTTTGCAAATAACCTATGCACATCCTCCTGTATACATGAAATCATCTCTAGATTACTTATAATTCCTGATACAGCCTACACACAGCTTCATTTGTGTCCATTCAACATAGTTATGCTTTTTGAAACTCTGTGGATACTTTCTCTCAATATTTTTGATTTATACTTGGTTCAATAAACACCTGTAAACCCCGCAGATATGGAGGAGTGACCGTATATTTATATTATGAAAGATGATGTGTTGATATGTGTCCCCATGGAGATGAGACTAACAAGGCCTATGATTCTACAAATGTTTCATTGTGGAATGACTCTGCCAGCTTTCCAGGTCTGCAGAGAGTAAGAGTATCACTTGTTCATATGATTCGTGATCCTTGGAACCTCCTATGTGCTACATCTTTGGATGGAAATTGGAGTCCCAGAGACAAATGAGGCTCCACCCTGCTTCCAGAAACTCAGAGTCCGGGGATGAGAACTCAGTGGGGAACAGATGGGATTATATGGACATGGTACTGATAACACCGGAAGCCTTAGGCAAGAAAAGAGTCCCATTACCGAAACCATGGGGGCAGACATGTTTATTTGAAGGATGGAAAACTACATTGAAGTTATTTTAAAAAATATATAAGTTTTACTGCTGACAGAAGACTGAAAGCTAGTCTGAGGGGAGGTGGAACAGCATGAGGGAAGGTGGAACAACACGTGTCTAAGTGCTGCGTTAAGAGGGAGCCTCTTGTATGTTTGGAATTGTGAGTTCCTCAGTGTGATTGCAGCCTCAAGTAGACTAGGAAGTAAGCCAGTTAGGTTGGAGAGGTGGGCAGGGGTCAAGTGAAATGGAGAACTGTGGGTTAAGCAAAGGAGTGTGTTTTTTCTCCAGCAGGCAGTGGGGACCTTAGACATTTGTAAGCAAGAGAGAGGCACATTCAGATTTGTGGTGTGAGGAAGATCGATGCCCTAAGATGCAGACTCACGCCTTCAGATTCCAGCTGCTGGTACATGGGAGCTGGCAACCCGGTTTTGAGACAGGGCTGTTGTCTCCCTAGAAGACGCCCTCAAGGCCTGACTGTGGTGCTCATGGGCAGGAGACAACTTTGGATCTGGACTCAGCATTTGGAAGTTCCGTGTACACGATGATATCTGTTGGGGGTGTCTTGGGCCTCTGAGAAGGGCGAGTGATTTTTCTCTGTGTGAAAACGCAGTGATTCAACTGTGTGTATGTCACCTCCTGAGGGTCTTGTTCATCAGAGTCCTGGAGAGAGGGAAATGCTGAGTGAGGGAGGGTGCTCACATTTTCCAGGACTCTTTGGGAATAACAGTAGCCACGAGCCCGGGCCGAGGAGTACCTACCTCGCTATTCGCTGTTCTGTTTCCTGCAGACTCTTGGTCCATTACCGCAGCATCTGTAGAAGATGGAAGTCAACAAAACAGCTCGGAGGGCACTTCTGGGTCCTCATTTCATAAGCAGATACCAACATACAGGGGGAGACCATAGGTGGCTGAGGTCCCTCAGTTGCCAACAGCAGACTCAGACATTCTATCTCTCTGAGCTCAAGGACCCATCCCATGAATAGCTCTGAGTTCCCATCCCATTGATTCTGTCTCCCACTTTCTGCCTGTCATGGAACCTTCTCCTGGATGTGAGTGGCTGCAGGGGACATGGGGATACAGTTCAGAATCAGGCAACGGTCTGTGAGTTGAAGGCAGGGACAGGGAGTCTGGTGCCCTCTCTAGAAAGTCCTGCCTCTGTGGCTGCTGCCTTGGGCCAGGGACCATCCTGTTTGTGAGGAACACACACCTGAGTGCTCCCATCCTGCTTCCCCACATGGCCCTGAGCTCTCTGGCCTCTGCTTCGTGAGACTTACTTTTTTTGTTGGAGCACCAGCGATGAAGGAGAAAGAAGAGGAGGATGAAGAGGATGATGACCACTGAGGTCCCAATCAGAATGTGCAGGTGTCGGGGGTTACCTGGAAGAAGATGAGACACCAATAAGAAGCTAATCTTAGCAGTTCCTCTTTATGAATTGTCTCGCATTTCTTGATTGACAGGTAACCACATAAAACACCTCTTTAGGACAAGCACCCAGATGGCAGGAGACCCAGCTTTCTCCTGCTTTTTCAGTTATAGCTCTCATAGTAACCATAGAACGTGCTGAGGATACGACTACTTTAGTTGAGATGTTTGACCCCTTCAAACCTCACATTGAAATTTCACCCCCACTGTGGGAGGTTGGGCCTCTTGAGAGGTGTTTGGGTCATGGAGGTGGATCCATCATGAACACATCAATGCTGTCCCAAGGAGACGGGGTTAGCAAGTTCCCCCTCTATTAGTTCCCGGAGAGCTGGTTGTTAAAAAGAGCTTGGAAGCTCCATCACTCCCCCTCCCCCTTGCTCCCTCTCTTGCCGTGTGATCTCTGTGGTCTCTGCACAGACAGACCCTCCTTCCCTTCTGCCAGAGTGGGAGCAGCCTGAGGCCGTCACGAGAAATAGATGCTGGTGCCATGCTTCCAGTACAGCCTGCAGAACGGTGAGGCAAACCAATCTCTTTTCTTTAGAAGTTACCGAGGCTCAAGTGTTCCTTTAGAGCAACAAAAATGGCCTAAGACAGCAACTTCCTGAGATCAGGAGGAACGTCTCAGAACACCCTGGGCTGTCTTCCTGTTCTTCCTGGAGGACGTCATGCAGTGCTTTAGCTGAGTGCTTCCTGTGGCTCCAGGGTACAAAACCCAGGCTGGGCTGCTTTCTGGCTTCCCGCAGCTACACTGCAAATGGGGTGACTCCATATGTCCCGAGGAGCTTTTCTGAGCCTTGAGGGACTGGGTCACATTGAAATATAGGTTTCTGTTGTCACTCGCTGCTTATCTGTTAGTAATGAACCTGCCTATGTAACGTATTCTCTGTGTGTTCTGTCTCCCTGGAGTGACGGTGAGTGATAGGAATTGGCATAGGCCCAGGTGCAGTCCAGGAGGTGTTTAGAGTCTTCTCTGGGAAGACTGGACTGGGATTGATTCACAGCGAATGTGCTTTAGGGTTTCTACATCCACAGCATTCTTGAATCAAACAACTTGCATTCTCCAAGGAAAGAAAACAAAAGTGAAATCAAGATAAAAAAAGCGAAATAGAATTCTCTTATGTCAAACGGCCAGGAAATAGTGTTGAAGCCCGTGTGAAACCTGCTGCTCTTTGTGATCTCGGGAGACACATATTAGGCTGCTGTTCTACCCGAGAGGCTGGGGGAAGGACCACCCCCTCGGCCATCTATTGCTTCAAAACCACCTGTCCTCCTGTGAATTAGTAGGAAAGGGGAGCAGGAGCTAGTGCTGTCGCTGATCTCTGATTCCAAGATCTGGACTCACTCCAAGGAGTGTTAATGTTTACCTCCCCATGGTCTATCTGAATCTCCACAGGTGATTGGAAGTAGGGGTGAGGTGGGGGATTTGGGTGAGTGGGCAAGTTTTTTTTGTGATGACCAGAGCACTTTCTCTATTCCAGGATCTGTGCTGGAGGATTCAGCGGGCTTTCACATTTTCTATATGATCTCATGCTCACAGAAAGCCAAATAGGGAAGAGGTTTTAGGCTCATTGCCTAATGGATAAGATAAAGGATCAAAGAAGTAATTATAGAGAAATAGAAAAACGATGATTGGAATTCAGGTGCCTTTGTCATTCGTGTGTGTTTTATTATATTTATGTATTTCTTATTTTTATTTTTTGAGATAGAGTCTCCTTGTGTCCCCCAGGCTGGAGTGCAGTGATGCAATCTCCACTCACTGCAACCTCCACCTACTGGGTTGAAGTCATTCTCCTGCTTCATCCTCCAGAATAGGAGCTGGGATTACAGGGATGCACCATCGTGCTCGGCTAATTTTTGTATTTTTAGTAGAGATAGGGTTTCACCACGTTGGCCAGGCTGGTCTGGAACTCCTGACTTCATGGAATCCACCCACCTTGGCCTCCTGCAGTGCTAGGTTACAGGCGTGAGCCACTGTTCACAGACTTGTATATTATGCTATAATAAGTCTCTTCATTTCCACCACCACTCATATATCTGTCACTCCTTTGCCAGGTATTGATTTATGTGTAGGATGAATAAATCTCAGAAAGAAATTAATTAAGCGAGGATTAAACAAGTAGGAAAATCAAACCCAGTAAGCCTTTCCAGTCAATGATTCTACCTCACAAACATATCTTATATCCATCTACTTCATTCATTTAGTGTCTAAATCAGCACCACATTTCACCAGTGGGGCGGCAATTGCCTTTTCCACGGTCTCCTAGATTCCAGTTATGCACCTGGGCCTCCCTTATTTTCATGTCAGTCATATTAATCATGTAGGGATTCCTGGTTACCCCGAGGTGAATCCAATGGCTGTGAGTGTCAAACACACACTCCTTGTTGCTCCTTAGTTTCCTGTGTACCCAGTGTGCTCTCCGTCTCTCTACAGTCGTCTTGTCATTCTCCCCACCTCATTCCCAGCATTTGAGTCAGAGCCTCTTCCTTCCACATCAGATTGTTTTCACCTTTGTGCCTTCATGGCTGACAGCTGTGTGTGCAAAATCCTTCTGCCAATCTTTCAGGGGTTCATTCCGTGTTTTTCATTAATGTCACAAATATCTGAATAGTGAGACCTTCTTTGTCACCTGAAATCATACACTCAGCATTATCTATTATTGATTTTGAATTCTGGCTGGGCACAGTGGCTCACGCCTGTAGTCCCATTACTTTGGCATGCTGAGACGGTCGGATCACTTGAGGTTGGGAGTTTCAGACAAGCTTGGCCAACGTGGTGAAACATCCTCTCTACAAAAAATATACAAAAAGAATTAGCCGGGCACGGTGGCAGTTGCCTGTAATCCCAGCTACTCGAGAGGCGGAGGCAGGAGAATCACTTGAATCCAGGAGACGCAGGTTGCAGTGAGCCAAGATCGTGACACTGCACTGTAGCCTGGAAGACAGAGGGCGACTCTGTCTCAATAAACAAAAGAACAAACAAAAAATAGATTTCATGCACAGATGCTTCCCAATGGACCATTCATTTATAGATCCACTTGTGCGTTCATTTTCTGCCCTCCCATTTAACCATCTGCAATATCAGTGTCCCAAGGGCAGAGGCCAAATGCATCTTGTTCACTGTTTGTGGAAGGCAGGAGAATGCTGTCCCACCCCAAAATGTCCCTGTCCTAGCCTCCATAGCTTGTGAATATGTTATTTTACATGGAAAGGAGGAATGAAGATTGCAGATGGAATTATGGTTGCTAATCAGCTGAACTTAAAACAAGGGTATCCTGGATGATTTCCAGGAGATTATGAGGGATTTTCATCTTGGTGAACCCAATAGAATCCCCAAGTTTTCAAAAGATGAGGAAGAAGGGAGAGCAGCACTCAGAGAAAGAGGTGTGGTAAGGAAGAAGGCACTGAGTGATGCCATGTGAGATGTGACCAGTCTTTGTGGGCTTTGAGGAAGGAGGAAGGGGACCAGGAGCCAAGGAACTGGGAGCCTTTAGAAGCTGGGACAAGTGAGAAGCAGATTCGTGCCTGGAATCCTCAGAGGGAAGGCAGCCTTGCTGTCACCTTGATTTTAGCCCAGTAAGATGCACTTCCTACTTTGAGCTACAGCACTGTAAGATAATTAAAAAACCGTTTTGTTTTCACCCACGAATCTTGTGGAAATTTGTTATGGCAACAATAGGAAAAGGTTCCACACTGCACAGCCTGAGCATGGGGCCGTGGCTGAATGAGTCAGTGAGTCGAAGTGTGCGTGCATGAGCTCTGTTCTCTGTTACGGCAAGGCTCTTTCTCTGCGGAGTCAGCCAGGGTTGCTTCATGACCTACAGGAGCTCATTCCTTGGCAAGTGGAACTTCTCTAAAACACCTTGCCCTCATCAGATGTTCCCTTCCCTTCCCTCTCTCAAGTCTCCAGGAATTTATCCTCCAGTTAGGAATGCAGGTAGAACAAACATTGCATTTTTCCTGAGAAGGATGTCAGATTGGCAATCATTCTTCTAGCTTGTAGGAGGTCTCAGCTCCATAAAATGAGAGATGAAGAGATTTCACTGAGCCCTGTGTTGGGCCCAGATCCCTTTCGCTGTAGGAGTATCTGGAGTTCGGAGATGGTGGAAGACAAGTGTACAATGTCAGAGCTGTGAGATGCTGAGTCAACGCCTGAATCCAAGGTTCCCACCTCCCCAGGGTTCCAAAAGCGGATATAAGAGGGTTCTGTACTCACCGGTTTTGGAGCTTGGTTCAGTGGGTGAAGGCCAACTATTTGAAGGGTTTCCTAGAACATGAGACAGGAGAGAGGTGAGGAAATGAGGGTGTCTGTCCTCCACTCAGTGGAAATCTTTGAGGATGGTTCATGGCCAACACTCTCTTATCTAATATTGAGCCCTGGGAGTCCTGGGATCCTTTTTTCCATAATTTTTTTATATGACACCCACTGTCTTGAGACTTCAAGATATAAAGAGAAAACAGGAGCATCACACTACCTGATCTCAAAATATGTTACAGAGCTGTAGTAAGCAAAATAGCATGACATTGGCATAAAGAAAGGCACATAGAACAACGGAGCAGAATGAATAACACAGATATATTCCATGCATTTACATCCAATGGTTTTTTATTTTTTCTTTTGAGATGGAGTCTTGCTCTGTCACTCAGGCTGGAGTGCAGAGGTGCAATCTCGGTTCACTGCAACCTCAGCCTCCTGGGTTCAATCATTCTCTTGCCTCAAATTCCTGAGTAGTGGTATTACAGGTGCTGACCACCATGCTCAGCTAATTTTTATATTTTTAGTGGAGACGATGTTTCATCACGTTGGCCAGACTAATCTTGAACTCCTGGCCTCAGGTGATCCACCCACCTCGGGCTCCCAAAGTGCTGAAATTGCAGGTGTTAGCCACCAAGCCCAGCCCATCCAATGGACTTTGACAAAGATGCCAAGAACTCACAATCAGGAAAGGACAGTCTTTTCAATAAACAGTGCAGGGAAACCTGGACATCTACATGCAGAGGAATGAAACTGCAACTCTACCTGTCACCATACACAAAAATCAAATGAAAATGGATTAAAGATGTGAGTCTAAGGCCTGAACCTATGAAACACGTAGAACAAAATATTGGGGAAATGCTCCAGGACGTTTGTCTGAAGGAAGACATTTTGTTTTAAACCTTCAAAACACAAGTAATCGAAGCAAAAATAGACCATTGGGATTACCTCAAACTAAGCAACTTCAGCACTGCTAAAAATAAACCAACAAAGTGAAGAGACAACCCACAGATTGGGAGCAAATATGTGCAAACTATGCATCTGAGATGGGATTAATAACTAGAAATATAAGAAGCTCAAACAACTCAATAAAACAAATGATTTAATTGAAAAAGGAGCAAAAGACATGAAATTTCCCCACATACGAAAAAGTGCTCAGTATCACTCATCATCAGAGAAACGCAAATTAAAATCAAAGTGAGTTTTCATCTCACCCCATTAAAATGGCTTTTAGGCCGGGTGAGGTGGCTCACTTGTGTCATCCTAGAACTTTGAGAACCTGAGGTGGGTGAATCTCATAAGGTTGGGAGTTTGAGACCAGTCTGACCCACATAGAGAAACGCTGTCTCTACTAAAAATACAAAAATTAGTAGGGCGTGGTGGCGTGTGCCTGTAATTCCAGCTACTCGGGAGGCTGAGGCAGGAGAATCGCTTGAACCTGGGAGGTGGAGGTTGTGGTGAGCCGAGATAGCGCCACTGCACTCCAGCCTGGGTGAGAAGAGCAAAACTCCATCTCAAAATAAAATGAAATAAAATAAAATGGCTTTTAGCTGCAAGACAGGCAAAAGAAATGCTGGCAAGGTGGTAGAGAAAGGAGAACCCTGGTACCCTGTTGGGAGGAGTGTAAATTAGTACAGCCATTACGGAGAAAAGTATGGAAGTCCTTTAAAGAACTAAAAAGAGGTTGGGTGAGGTGGATCATGCCTGTAATCCCGGCACTTTGGGAGACTGAGGCGGGCACCTCAGTTGAGGTCATGAGTTTGAGAGCAGCCCAGCCAACATGGGGAAACCGCATCTATACTAAAAAAACCAAAAAGTAGCCAGGCATGGTGGTGTGCACCTGTAATCCCAGCTACTAGGGAGGCTGAGGCAGGAAAATCATTTGAACCCAGGAGGCGGAGGTTGCAATGAGCCAAGGTTGCACCACTTTGACTCCAGCTTGGGCTAAGGAGGGAAACTCTTTCTCAAAAAAGAAAAAAAAAAAAAAAAGAGAACTTTCATAGTATCCAGCAATTTCACTACTGGGTTTATATCCAAAGGAAAGTAAATCAACATATCGAAGTGATATCTGCACTCGTATGATTGGTGCAGCACTGTTCACAGTAGCCAAGATGAGGAGTCAACCTACCTGCCCATCAGTGGGTGAATGGATAGAGAGAATGTAGTACATACGCACAGTGGAGACTACTCATCCATAGAAAGAATAACATCCTGTCATTTGCAGCCACATGGATGGAACTGGAGGTCATTAAAAAGATTCCCATTTCTCACCCATATACAGGAGCTAAAAGGTGGATCTCATGAAGGTAGAGAGTAGAATGGTGGCTACTGGAGGACAGGAAGAAAAGGGTGGAGGGTAAAAAAAATGTATATATATATATATATAAAAATGTATTTATGACCACTAGACTTTACACTTAAAAATGGTAAATGTGGCTGGGCCTGGTGGCCCATGCCTGTAATCCCAGCACTTTGGGAGGCTGATGCGGGTGGATCACGTGGTCAGGAGTTCGAGACCAGCTCGACCAACATGGTGAAACCACCTCTCTACTAAAAATACAAAAAGTAGCCTGGCGTGGTGGTGCGTGCCTGTAGCACTAGCTACTCAGGTGGCTGAGGCAGGAGAATCGCTTGAACCCAGGAGGCGGAGGTTGCAGTGAGCTGAGATTGTGCCACTGCACTCCATCATAGGGGACAGAGCTAGACTCCACCTCAAAAAAAAATGTTAAAAGTGGTAAGCTATATAGGTATATTTATCCTCAATAAATATTTCTTCAAAGAAAAGTAAAGGGTGTAGGGGTTGCTGGTGATGACATCTCTGTGTGGGTGAGAGGCCAGGATGGGCTTCTGGGAAATGGGTAAGGTTGAGGGGCTGAGGGAACCTCTGATCTCCCCAAACTGAGCCCAGTCTCCCTCCTCTGGGTCTCTCCTGACCGCTTTCTCCATCTGCCTGGGTGCCTGGAGCCCTGGCCGTGGGCCTCCATGCAGGCCATGTAGGAGGGTTTGGAGGTGCCCTGTCGGCCATCCTGTGCCCTGATCCCTCCCTCACACCGAGGCTGCGTCTTCTCTCTGCATCTGTCCATGCTTCTCTCCATCCTCAGCAGGAAGCTCCTCAGCTAAGGCTCTAGGATCATAGGACATGGGACAGCCATGGGCTTTCCTCACCTGTGACAGAAACAAGCAGTGGGTCACTTGACTTTGACCACTCGTATGGAGAGTCATGGAAAGAGCCGAAGCATCTGTAGGTCCCTCCGTGGGTGGCAGGGCCCAGAGGAAAGTCAGCCTGGAATGTTCCGTTGACCTTGGGCCCTGCAGGGAGCCTACGTTCATGGGCCTCCCCTTCCCTGGATAGATGGTACATGTCATAGGAGCTCCGGGAGCTGCAGGACAAGGTCACATTCTCTCCTGCCAGAACCGTGGGGCCCAGCTGGGCTGAGAGAGAAGGTTTCTCATATAGACCTGGAAGGAGAAGAGGCAGTTTCCTCAGGGAGGATCTTCTTTGTCACAGCTCCCTTCACCTGAGCTGAGAACTCACTCCCCTGTTCTATGACCTAATGCTCTCTCTCTCTCTCTCTCACCCTCTACCCCATCGCTCTTCATGTCTATTTCCTCCTTCCACCTTCTCTGTCTCTCTAGGTCTCTGACCTCACTTCCCCACCTCTAGATATGTTTTCTCTTTTTGGATTGTTTTATTCTCTCTGACTCTCCTTGGATTGGTTGACTTGATGTTACTTTTTTTAATTCTGAGTTTCTCACTTTGTGTCCTGTTCATAACTTTCTGCATATTTCTATCTATTATCTATCGATCTATCTATTTATCTATTCGGTGCCTATCTACAAATTCTCTACCTGTCATCTATATCTATATATCATCTATTTATCCATCAATTGTCTATCTATCCATCAATCATCTATTATCTATATCTATGTATCATCTCTCTCTCTCTATGATTTCTCTATGTCTGCCTCTGTATCTCTATGTATTATCTATCTATCTGTCTTCATCATCATCATCTCTATGTCTCATCTATTAATGAATCAATCAATCATCATCTATGTATCTATAACCTATTATCTATCATCTACCTATTTATCATCTATCTATATCTATCCATCTATCATCTGTCTTGCTCTGCCTCTCGGTCTCTCTAGTTCTCTTTGGAATCTCTGCAATTCATCCCCACATCTCCATCTTTCAATGTCCTTGTGCCTCTCCCTCAGGAGTCTAATTTTAGTGCTTTTCTCTGCTCCCTTCCATCATTCTCACCACTCCTCTGCCCTCTTTTCTCTCTCTTTATGTGTCTGTGAGTCTCTCAATCTCCTTCCTCTGGCTCATTCTCTGTGTGTTTATGTCTTTGCTTTTTGGTGTCCCTGATTTCTCTCTGTGCCTCTCACTGATCCTCTCATAAGTGGGCTTATTTGGAATATGAGCCTCAGAATCCAGTCTGGAGACTACAAGTTCACACAGCATACAGGGGTTGGTGTTGTGGGGCCATGATATCCTGGGACGATTACTCTCCATTACATGGAAGGCAGAGGTGTCAGAATAAACATGGCATCTGTAGGTGCCACAAGGCCTGAGGCCACAGGGCCCAACTCAGGTCAGAAATATGGGTGTCCTTGGGTTCTCCTGGTAGAGAACACTTTGTGGAGGTAAAACAGAAATGAAACTTCTAACCTGTGCCAGGTCTCTGAGCAAAGTCAGCATGGAGGGACACCTCTCTCTGGGACATGTCTGTCTGTGTGTCTCCTTTAACTCTTTCTGTCTTTTCTAACTCCCGGTATGGCCCCTGTGTCTGTTCTCTGTTATGACACCTGGTCTCTACTTGTGTCTCCTGTTTCTCTGTCTCTGTTGGCACAGACCTCACCAAGTCAGTCTCTCTCCATAAGAATACCAAGCTCATCTTCCTTACAGCCACCTGGGTCTCCAATTCCTGGATCATTCACTCTGCATCCCAATGACAATGAGAAGAAAGTCTGGACACTCTCACCTATGATCACGATGTCCAGAGGGTCACTGGGAGCTGACACCTGATAGGGGGAGTGAGTAACAGAACCGTAGCATCTGTAGGTCCCTGCCAGGTCTTGCGTCATGCGACTGATGGAGAAGTTGGCCTTGGAGACCCCATCATGGTGTTCTCCAATGAGGCGCAAAGTGTCGTTAAACATCCCCTCTCTGTGCAGAAGGAAGTGTTCAAACATGACATCTGACCAACACTGCAGGATGACTGTCTCTTCTGATTTCACCAGGCGACCTGGGTGGGCCAGGAGGGAAGGTTTTCTGTGGACTCCTAGGAAGAGAGGTTGTGAGTTTAGAAGGTGTCTCTCTTTATCATCCCATCCATGGCACCTGGATTGAGTCAGGCTTCCCCTTCCTGGTGTCTTATCTCTCTCCTTCCTCTCTGTGTCTTCATGTTCTTTTCTGTGCCCATAACTCCTGGTGCAGGTCCTTCCATCTGTCTCCCTCACTCTTCTCTGTCCCTCTGTCTCTAGTAGCCTCTGATTCCCTTGCCGCTGGGCTCAGCCTCATCTCTTGGGCTGTTGTATCTATTTCGAACTAATGTCTTTCCTGCTGTCTATGTGGGGGTGGAAGAGGAACCAGGATAGGCTGCACATCCAGGCTCTTAGCAGCCTGGTTCAATCTCTTTTGGACGAATTGGAATCCTTGGCAGGAGGTATGAACTGATCAGTAAGGCAGGCACCAGTGGCCACACACCCTGTTCCTGGTAGGGACTGGGAGCCACTCTTGCCATGCCAGTGCCAGCTTCCATAGGCTGGCTCCTGGTGCTGGTTGGAGGAGTATCAACCCCTCCCTATGTGGATGGAGCCTGGTGGTGGCATCATCATCTGAGCCTTGCTGATCTCAGTGTAGCCAACCTTCTCCTTGTTTGGTTTCTTTAATTAATTAATTAATTTTGGCGACAGAGTCTCACTCCTTTGCCCAGGCTGGAGTGAAGTGGTGTGGTCTAGGCTCACTGCAACCTCTGTCTCCTGGGTTCAAGTGATTCTCCTGCCCTCAGCCTCCCAAGTCGCTAGGATTACATGCACCTGCCACCATGCCTGGCTATCCTTGTGTTGTTTCTTAACTTGTCCTTGACCTGGGTTCCAGTGTTGGTTTCCTGTTGCTGCTGTAGAAAATTATCAGAAGCATGGCACCAGGAGAGAGCACACTAACCCCTTCCAATTCTGGAGACAGAAATCGGACCCTGTTTGTCGTGGGTAAAATCAAGGCACCTGCAGGGCTTCGTTCCCTCTGGAGACTCAGGAGAATCAGTTCCTTGACTTTTCCAGCCTCTATAGGCCACCTGCATTCATGGCTCCTGGACTTCCTCCACCTTCAAAGCTGATGGAGACTCCCATTATGCTGCTGTAATCCCCACTCCCCTCTTCCTCCTCCTTTCATGTGGACCCCTGTGACTACACTGAGCCCATCAGGACAGTCCAGGCTGTCTCCCCATCTCAAGGTCAACTCATCAACAACCTGAGCTCCATCTTCTCCTTCAGTCCCTTCCCCTATATCATAAATAGTCACAGACTCCAGGGATTAGAATGTAGTCATCACTGGGGACAATTATTCTTCCCACCACAGCACCCATTTCCCTGTATTCAATCCCCCTTTACCCCAAATACAGTCAGGACTTGCATGATGGGACCCGCAAGGACACGCCCACCAGGAGCTCTGGGATTCAGGAGGTGGGACAAGGAGAATCCCAGACAGGAGCCCTCTGACCTGTGACCGTGATCTCCAGGGGGTTGCTGGGTGCCGACCACCCACTGGGGTAGTGTGGTTGTGAACCCCGACATGTATAGGTCCCTGCGTGTGCTGGGGTCACAGGGCCCATGAAAAGGCTGTTCCAGAATATTATGTTGTAGAGCTCAGGGACAGGCACCCCATCTTCCTTTTACAGACTGAAGTTGTTAAACCCAAGATAAGAATGACACTGAAGAATCACATGTCCTGGAGGCACCACAGGGCTTGGCCAGGCAGACAGCAAGGGCTTGTCCTGACCACCGTGGGGAGAAGGAGGCACCGCCTTAGAGAGGAGGATGTGGAGCCGCCCCTCCCTCCCTGTGCTCTGAAGATTCTCCTCGCTTTCCAAGTTTCTATGGCTGCTATCACACCTTGGTGCCCAGGGCTAAAGGAAGGACCCATCCCGCAAACACAAGGTGTCTCCCTACAACAAAAGTGTCAGCTGAGAACTTTGAGCAAGTGCTGAGTAAGAGACTCCTACTAGATTTTAATACTGTAAGATTACTCACATAAAACAACACAGGGTAGACATGGGGTGGAGGGCATGTCCTTTGAGAATGGAATATCAGCCGATGCCTGAACGAAAATAAACAACTGAGTCCCCATCAGAGGATTGGAATGTCAGGGCCATGGCTGTGGTTTTCCCACCTCTTCTGGTAGAATGACAGCAGCCACACTGCAGCCCCTACCGTCATGGAAACGCTGAAGTGTGTGAGTAACACCTTTGTCCTCAGAGGATCTGCTGTTCCTACCACTTCCCCACCACACACCCCAGCTTTGAGCACCGTAGTCTAACCCTGGTCCCCACAGAACTTGACTCTGCCAAGGGAATGAAAGGCCAGGGAGGCAAGGTCAGAAATGTGGGCCCAGCACCCCAGGGTCCCTTCTTCCTAGTTTATGAGAGACTCCCTGACAGGACTTCCCTCCCATTTCAGGAAAATCCTCTTATGTGGGGAGATGACACCCGAAGGTTGGGAGAAGGACTCACCCTCATGTGGCCAGGCCCCCTGCAGCAAGAAGAACCCTGGAAAGAAAGATCATGATGGATGACCCATCTGCAGGCAAACCAGGGCACCCTTGCTGCCCCCACTGGGCTGTGAGTCTTGGTAGCCAGGCCCTTCCTGGGCTGAAGGTAAACTCACCCTCAGTGCCTACCTGCACCCAAGAACAGGGCTGTCGGCTGTGCAGAGACCCAGCCTCCAGGTCCATATCCCCACCTCAAGCCCATATCTCCACTCCAGGCCCATATCTCCACTCCAGGCCGATATTTCCACCCTAAGCCCATATCGCCAATCCAGGCCCATATCTCCAATCCAGGCTCAGATCTCCACCCTGGGCCCATATCTCCAATCCAGGCCCTTATCTCCACTCCAGGTCCATATCTCCTCTCCAGTCCCATATCTCCACTCCAGGCCCATATATCCTCTCCAGTCCCATATCTCCACACCCAGGCCCGTATCTCCATCCTAGGCACATATCTCCTCTCCAGGCCCAGATATCGACCTCTAGGCCCATATCTCCACTCCTGGCCCATATCTCCACTCCAGGCCCAGATATCGACCTCTAGGCCCATATCTCCACTCCTGGCCCATATCTCCACTCCAGGCCCATGTCTCCACTTCAGGCCCATATCTCTACTGCAGGCCCATAACTCCACCTCCAGGCCCATGACTCCACTCCAGGCCCATATCTCCACCTCCAGGCCCATATCTCCCCTCCAGGTTCCTATCTCCCCTCCAGGTTCCTATCTCCACTCCAGGCCCAGATCTCCACTACAGTCCCATCACTCCACCTCCAGGCCTATATCTCGACCTCTGGGCCCAGATCTCCACTTCTAGGCCCATCACTCCATCTCTAGGCCCATATATCCACTCCAGGCCCAGATCTCCACTCCAGGCCCATAACTCCACCTCCAGGCCTATATCTCCACCTCTGGGCCCAGATCTCCATCCCCTCACTCCCTCCCTCTATTGCTTTCCAGGACTCACCAACACACGCCATGCTGACGACCAAGAGCGACATGGTGCTGCCGGAGCAGACAGGCAGCCGCGACCGAGCTCAGCTCAGCAGCGCACAGGATGTTATTTGGCGCCCTGCCCATGCAGTTTACATGTTGACCACATCATGGGAGGGTGACGTACGCAGGCTCTTTCTACCTTGCATGAGGCCCAGTGGGTGCTCGCTCAAGAGCGGAACACGGCTTCCTGGAAATTGTTCTCGCTAGAATTTGACACCTAGTGTCCTTCACTATGACCAACTCAAAACACGTCTGAGATCCAACCTCCCGAACACGAGATGCCTAAAATCTGTGCTAACATGAAAGACTTTTCATGTATTTCTATTGTTTTTATCTGAGATTCAAACTCTTCTTCCTGTGTAATATGCAAAATATCTAATAGGTATTATTAATGTTTTCAGAGTCATTGTCACTAATAAACCATTAGAATTTTTCATGCTTGTATTTCTAGTATTACAGCAGAACCAGTTAAAATGATTTAAATTCCCAGGGAAGGATTATGCAATTATTTACAATCTTAGAATTGTACTTTATCAGTAAAAACCCCACCTGTAAATTCTGGAGTTTTGTAGTTTAATCTAAAATTTGTCTCATGACCCAAGATTCCAGAGTCCCAACTCTGGAGTTTGTTTTCCGTCTGTCTCTCTCCCTCCCTCATTTTAAATTTTACAGAAATATCCAGTAACATAATGCTATAGAAAATCAAGTTTCCCCAGCACGTTGGGAAGCCGAGGTGGGCGGATCAACTGAGATAAGGAGTTTGAGAGCAGCCTGGCCAATATAGTGAAACCGTGTCTCTGCTAAAAATCCAAAAATTAGCCGTGCCTGGTGGCAGGCACCTGTAACGCCAGCTACTCAAGAGGCTGAGGCATGAGAATCGCTTGAACCTGGGAGGCAGAAGTTGCAGTGAGCTGAGATTGTGTCACTGCAGTCCAGCCTGGGCGACAGAGCAAGACTCCGCCTCAAGAAAAAAAAGCAAATAGCCTATAATAACAAATTAGAGAGCTCTGGCTACTAAATTTAAAGGGTTCTATAAGGCTACATAAAGTGCAGCATCATCAAGAGTGTGGACACAGAGAGCCCCTTAGCAGAAACAGTGTCTAAAGTACATCCGTGTACACACAGTCCCTTTAGAGTTGACAAAGGCTGCCGTGTGGTTTAAGGTGGCATAGAATGTCTTCTCAATAAATAATATTAAACCAATGGGTTATACCTAGGAAAAAATAAATCTAACTCACACTATAAAAACACTTCTTAGTTTTTATCTAGTTGTACATTTTTTATGATTTATATTTAAATTTGAGAAATAAAAGTCATATACGGTCATCCTTCACTATTCGTGGGTGATTGGTTTCGAGATCTCCACTCAGATACCAAAATCTGTAGATGCTCAAGCCTCTTATATGAAATGGCACAGAGTTTGCAAATAACCTATGCACATCCTCCTGTATACATGAAATCATCTCTAGATTACTTATAATTCCTGATGCAGCCTACACACAGCTTCATTTGTGTCCATTCAACACAGTTCTGCTTTTTGTAACTCTGTGGATACTTTCTCTGAATATTTTTGATTTATACTCGGTTCAATAAAGAACTGTAAACCCCACAGATATGGAGGAGTGACTGTATATTTATAGTGTGAAAGATGATGTGTTGATATGTGTCCCTGTGTAGATGAGACTAACAAGGCCTATGATTCTACAAATGTTTCATCTTGGAATGACTCTGCCAGATTTCCAGGTCTGCAGAGAGTAAGAATATCACTTGTTCATGTGATTCACGATCCTTGGAACCTCCTATGTGCTACATCTTTGGATGGAAATAGGAGTCCCAGAGACAAATGAGGCTCCACCCTGCTTCCAGAAACTCAGAGTCCGGGGGTGAGAACCCAGTGGAGAACAGATGGGGTTATGTGGACATGGTAATGATAATGGAAGTCTTAGGCAAGAAAAGAGTCCCATTACCGAAACCATGAGGGCAGACATGTTTATTTGAAGGAGGGAAAACTACATTGAAATTATTTTAAAAAATATATAAGTTTTACTGCTGACAGAAGGCTGAAAGATACTCTGAGGGGAGGTGGAACAGCATGAGGGAAGGTGGAACAGGACGTGTCTAAGTGCCGTGTTAAGAGGGAGCCTCTTGTATGTTTGGAACTGTGAGTTCCTCAGTGTGATTGCAGCCTCAAGTAGACTAGGAAGTAAGCCAGTAAGGTTGGAGAGGTGGGCAGGGGTCAAGTGAAATGGAGAATTGTGGGCTAAGCAAAGGAGTGTGTTTTCTCTCCAGCAGGCAGTGGGGACCTTAGACATTTGTAAGCAAGAGAGAGGCACATTCAGATTTGTGGTGTGAGGAAGAGCGATGCCCTAAGATGCAGACTCACGCCTTCAGATTCCAGCTGCTGGTACATGGGAGCTGGCAACCCGGTTTTGAGACAGGGCTGTTGTCTCCCTAGAAGATCCCCTCAAGGCCTGACTGTGGTGCTCATGGGCAGGAGACAACTTTGGATCTGGACTCAGCATTTGGAAGTTCCGTGTACACTCTGGTATCTGTTGGGGGTGTCTTGGGCCTCTGAGAAGGGCGAGTGATTTTTCTCTGTGTGAAAACGCAGTGATCCAACTGTACGTATGTCACCTCCTGAGGGTCTTGTTCATCAGAGTCCTGGAGAGAGGGAAATCCTGAGTGAGGGAGGGTGCTCACGTTTTCCAGGACTGTTTGGGAATAACACTAGCCACGAGGCTGGGCCGAGGAGCACCTACCTCGCTATTCGCTGTTCTGTTCCCTGCAGGCTCTTGGTCCATTACAGCAGCATGTGTAGGAGACGGAAGTCAACAAAAGAGCTCGGAGGGCACTTCTGGGTCCTCATTTCATAAGCAGATACCAACAAACAGGGGGAGGCCATAGGTGCCTGAGGTCCCTCAGTTGCCAACAGCAGACTCAGACATTCTATCTCTCTGAGCTCAAGGACCCATCCCATGAATAGCTCTGAGTTCCCATCCCATTGATTCTGTCTCCCACTTTCTGCCTGTCATGGAACCTTCTCCTGGATGTGAGTGGCTGCAGGGGACATGAGGATACAGTTCAGAATCAGGCAACGGTCTGTGAGCTGAAAGCAGGGACAGGGAGTCTGGTGCCCTCTCTAGAAAGTCCTGCCTCTGTGGCTGCTGCCTTGGGCCAGGGACCATCCTACCTGTGAGGAACACACACCTGAGTGCTCCCATCCTGCTTCCCCACATGGCCCTGAGCTCTCTGGCCTCTCCTTCGTGAGACTTACTTTTCTTGTTGGAGCACCAGCGATGAAGGAGAAAGAAGAGGAGGAGGATGAAGAGGATGATGACCACTGAGGTCCCAATCAGAACGTGCAGGTGTCTTGGGTTACCTGGAAGAAGATGAGACACCAATAAGAAGCTAATCATAGCAGTTCCTCTTTATGAATTGTCTCGCATTTCTTGATTGACAGGTAACCACGTAAAACACCTCTTTAGGACAAGCACCCAGATGGCGGGAGACCCAGCTTTCTCCTGCTTTCTCAGTTATAGCTCTCAAAGTAACCATAGAATGTGCTGAGGACACAACTACTTTAGTTGAGATGTTTGACCCCTTCAAACCTCACATTGAAATTTCACCCCCATTGTGGGAGGTTGGGCCTCTTGAGAGGTGTTTGGGTCATGGAGGTGGATCCATCATGAACAGATCAATGCTGTCCCAAGGAGACGGGGTTAGCTAGTTCCCCCTCTATTAGTTCCTGGAGAGCTGGTTGTTCAAAAGAACTTGGAAGCTCCATCGCTCCCCCTCCCCCTTGCTCCCTCTCTTGCCGTGTGATCTCTGTGGTCTCTGCACAGACAGACCCTCCTTCCCTTCTGCCAGAGTGGGAGCAGCCTGAGGCCATCACGAGAAATAGATGCTGGTGCCATGCTTCCAGTACAGCCTGCAGAACGGTGAGGCAAACCAATCTCTTTTCTTTAGAAGTTGCCCAGGCTCAAGTGTTCCTTTAGAGCAACAAAAATGGACTAAGACAGCAACGTCCTGAGATCAGGAGGAACGTCCCAGAGCAGCCTGGGCTGTCTTCCTGTTCTTCCTGGAGGAGGACGTCATGCAGTGCTTTAGCTGAGTGCTTCCTGTGGCTCCAGGGTACAAAACCCAGGCTGGGCTGCTTTCTGGCTTCCCCCAGCTACACTGCAAATGGGGTGACTCCATATGTCCCGAGCAGCTTTTCTGAGCCTTGAGGGACTGGCTCACATTGAAATGTAGGCTTCTGTTTTCACTCGCTGCTTATCTGTTAGTAATGAACCTGCCTATGTAACGTATTCTCTGTGTGTTCTGTCTCCCTGGAGTGACGGTGAGTGATAGGAATTGGCGTAGGCCCAGGTGCAGTCTAGGAGGTGTTTAGGGTCTTTTCTGGGAAGACTGCACTGGGATTGACACACAGCGAATGTGCTTTAGGATTTCTACATCCACAGCATTCTTGAGTCAAACAACTTGCGTTCTCCAAGGAAAGGAAACAAAAGTGAAATCAAGATAAAAAAGCGAAATAGAGTTATCTTATGTCCAACAGCCAGGAAATCGTGTTGAAGCCCCTGTGAAACGTCCTACTCTTTGTGATCTCGGGAGACACATGTTAGGCTGCTGTTCTACCTGAGAGGCTGGGGGAAGGACCACCCCCTCCACCATCTATTGCTTCAATACCACCTGTCCTCCTGTGAATTAGTAGGAAAGGGGAGCAGGAGCTAGTGCTGGTGCTGATCTCTCATTCCAAGATCTGGACTCACTCCAAGGAGTATTAATGTTTACCTCCCCATGGTCTATCTGAATCTCCACAGGTGATTGGAAGTAGGGGTGAAGTGGGGGATTTGAGTGAGAGGGCAAGTTTTTTTTGTGATGAACAGAGCACTTTCTCTATTCCACGATCTGTGCTGGAGGATTCAGCGGGCTTTCACATTTTCTATATGGTCTCATGCTCACAGAAAGCCAAATACGGAAGAGGTTTTAGGCTCATTGCCTAATGGATAAGACAAAGGATCAAAGAAGTAATTATAGAGAAATACAAAAATGATGATTGGAATTCAGGTGCCTTTGTCATTCGTGTGTGTTTTATTATATTTATGCATTTCTTATTTTTATTTTTTGAGACGGAGTCTCCTTGTGTCACCCAGGCTGGAGTGCAGTGATGCAATCTCCACTCACTGCAACCTCCACCTCCTGGGTTGAAGTCGTTCTCCTGCTTCATCCTCAAGAGTAGGAGCTGGGATTACAGGGATGCACCACCATGCTCGGCTAATTTTTGTATTTTTCATAGAGACAGGGTTTCACCATTTTGGCCAGGCTGGTCTGGAACTCCTGACTTCAAGTGATCCACCCGCCTTGGCCTCCTGCAGTGCTGGGAATTGCCTTTTCCACGGCCTGAGCATGGGGCCGTGGCTGAATGAGTCAGTGAGTCGAAGTGTGCGTGCATGAGCTCCGTTCTCTGTTAAGGCAAAGCTCTTGCTCTGCTGAGTCAGCCAGGGTTGCTTCATGACCAACAGTAATTCATTCCTGGGCAAGTGGAACTTCTCTAAAACACCTCGCCCTCATCAAATGTTCCCTACCCTTCCCTCTCTCAAGCCCCCAGGAATTTATCCTCCAGTTAGGAATGCAGGCAGAACAAACATTGCATTTTTCCTGAGAAGGATGTCAGATTGCCAATCATTTTTCTAGCTTGTAGGAGATCTCAGCTCCATAAAATGAGAGATTAAGAGATTTCACAGAGCCCTGTTTTGGGTCCAGATCCCTTTCGCTGTTGGAGTATCTGGAGTTTGGAGATGGTAGAAGACAGGCGTACAATGTCAGAGCTGTGAGATGCTGAGTCAACGCCTGAATCCAAGGTTTCCACCTCCCCAGGTTTCCAAAAGCGGATATAAGAGGGTTCTGTACTCACCGGTTTTGGAGCTTGGTTCAGTGGGTGAAGGCCAACTATTTGAAGGGTTTCCTAGAACATGAGACAGGAGAGAGGTGAGGAAATGAGGGTGTCTGTCCTCTACTCAGTGGAAATCTTTGAGGTTGGTTCATGGCCAACACTCTGTTATCTAATATTGGGCCCTGGGAGTCCTGGGATCCTTTTTTCCGTAATTTTTGTATGTGACGGCTACTGTCTTGAGACTTCAAGGTATAAAGAGAAAACAGGAGCATCACACTACCTGATCTCAAAATATGTTACAGAGCTGTAGTAAGCAAGACAGCATGACGTTGGCATGAAGAAAGGCACATAGAACAACGGAGCAGAATGAATAACACAGATATAATCCATGCATTTACCTCCAATGTATTTTTTGTTTTTCTTTTGAGATGGAGTCTTGCTCTGTCACCCAGGCTGGAGTGCAGAGGTGCAATCTCGGTTCACTGCCACCACAGCCTCCTGGGTTCAATCACTTCTCTTGCCTCAAACTCCTGAGTAGTGGTATTACAGGTGCTGACCACCATGCTCAGCTAATTTTTATATTTTTAGTGGAGACGATGTTTCATCACGTTGGCCAGACTAATCTTGAACTCTTGGCCTCAGGTGATCCACCCACCTCGGGCTCCCAAAGTGCTGAAATTGCAGGTGTCAGCCACCATGCCCAGCCCATCCAATGGACTTTGACAAAGGTGCCAAGAACTCACAATCAGGAAAGGACAGTCTTTTCAATAAACAGTGCAGGGAAACCTGGACATCGACATGCAGAGGAATGAAACTGCACCTCTGCCTGTCACTATACACAAAAATCAAATGAAAATGGATTAAAGATGTGAGTCTAAGGCCTGAACCTATGAAACACGTAGAAGAAAATATTGGGGAAATGCTCCAGGACGTTTGTCTGAAGGAAGACATTTTGTTTTAAACCTTCAAAACACAAGTAATCGAAGCAAAAATAGACCATTGGGATTACCTCAAACTAAGCAACTTCTGCACCGCTAAAAATAAACCAACAAAGTGAAGAGACAACCCACAGATTGGGAGCAAATATGTGCAAACTATGCATCTGAGATGGGATTAATAACTAGAAATATAAGAAGCTCAAACAACTCAATAAAACAAATGATTTAATTGAAACAGGAGCAAAAGACATGAAATTTCCCCACATACGAAAAAGTGCTCAGTATCACTCATCATCAGAGAAACACAAATTAAAATCAAAGTGAGTTTTCATCTCACCCCATTAAAATGGCTTTTAGGCCGGGCGTGGTGGCTCACGTCTGTCATCCTAGAACTTTGAGAGCCTGAGGTGGGTGAATCTCATAAGGTCGGGAGTTTGAGACCAGTCTGACCCACATGGAGAAACACTGTCTCTACTAAAAATACAAAAATTAGTCGGGCGTGGTGGCGTGTGCCTGTAATTCCAGCTACTCGGGAGGCTGAGGCAGGAGAATCGCTTGAACCTGGGAGGTGGAGGTTGTGGTGAGCCGAGATCGCACCACTGCACTCAGCCTGGGTGACAAGAGCGAAACTCCATCTCAAAATAAAATGAAATAAAATAAAATGGCTTTTAGCTGCAAGACAGGCAAAAGAAATGCTGGCAAGGTGTTAGAGAAAGGAGAATCCTGGTATCCTGTTGGTAGGAGTGTAAATTAGTACAGCCATTACGGAGAAAAGTGTGGAAGTCCTTTAAAGAACTAAAAAGAGGTTGGGTGAGGTGGATCATGCCTGTAATCCCGGCACTTTGGGAGACCGAGGCGGGCACCTCAGTTGAGGTCATGAGTTTGAGAGCAGCCCAGCCAACATGGGGAAACCGCATCTATACTAAAAAAAACAAAAAGTAGCCAGGCATGGTGGCGTGCGCCTATAATCCCTGATACTAGGGAGGCTGAGGCAGGAAAATCATTTGAACCCAGGAGGCAGAGGTTGCAATGAGCCAAGATGACATCACTTGTACTCCAGCCTGGGCACAGAGGGAAACTGTCTCAAAAACAAAAACAAAACAACAAACGAAAAACTAAAAAGAGAACTTTCATAGTATCCAGCAATTTCACTACTGGGTTTATATCCAAAGGAAAGTAAATCAATATATCGAAGTGATATCTGCACTCGTATGATTGGTGCAGCACTCTTCACAGTAGCCAAGATGAGGAGTCAACCTACCTGCCCATCAGTGGGTGAATGGATAGAGAGAATGTGGTACATTTGCATAGTGGAGACTACTCTTCCATAGAAAGAAAAACATCCTGATATTTGCAGCCACATGGATGGAACTGGAGGTCATTACAAAGATTCCCATTTCTTACCCATATACAGGAGCTAAAAGGTGGATCTCATGAAGGTAGAGAGTAGAATGGTGGCTACCAGAGGCCAGGAAGAAAAGGGTGGAGGGTAAAAAAAAATATGTGTATATATATATATATTAATGTATTTATGACCACTAGACTTTACACTTAAAAATGGTAAATGTGGCTGGGCGTGGTGGCTCATGCCTGTAATCCCAGCACTTTGGGAGGCTGATGCGGGTGGATCACGTGGTCAGGAGTTCGAGACCAGCTTGACCAACATGGTGAAACCCCCTCTCTACTAAAAATACAAAAAGTAGCCTGGCATGGTGGTGCGCGCCTGTAGCACCAGCTACTCAGGTGGCTGAGGCAAGAGAATCGCTTGAACCCAGGAGGCGGAAGTTGCAGTGAGCTGAGATTGTGCCAATGCACTCCAGCATAGGGGACAGAGCTAGACTCCGCCTCAAAAAAAAAATGTTAAAGGTGGTAAGCTATATAGGTATATTTATCCTCAATAAATATTTCTCAAACAAAAGTAAAGGGTGTAGGGGTTGCAGGTGATGACATCCCTGTGTGGGTGGGAGGCCAGGATGGGCTTCTGGGAAATGGGTAATGTTGAGGGGCTGAGGGAACCTCTGATCTTCCCAAACTGAGCCCAGTCTCCCTCCTCTGGGTCTCTCCTGACCGCTTTCTCCATCTGCCTGGGTGCCTGGAGTCCTGGCCGCAGGCCTTCATGCAGGCCATGTAGGAGGGTTTGGAGGTGCCCTGTCTGCCATCCTGTGCCCTGATCCCTCCCTCACACCCAAGCTTCGTCTTCTCTCTGCATCTGTTCATCCTTCTCTCCATCCTCAGCAGGAAGCTCCTCAGCTAAGGCTCTAGGATCATAGGACATGGGACAGCCATGGGCTTTCCTCACCTGTGACAGAAACAAGCAGTGGGTCACTCGAGTTTGACCACTCGTAGGGAGAGTCACGGAAAGAGCCGAAGCATCTGTAGGTTCCTCCGTGGGTGGCAGGGCCCAGAGGAAAGTCAGCCTGGAATGTTCCGTTGACCTTGGGCCCTGCAGAGAACCTACGTTCATGGGCCTCCCCCTCCCTGGATAGATGGTACATGTCATAGGAGCTCCGGGAGCTGCAGGACAAGGTCACGCTCTCTCCTGCCAGAACCGTGGGGCCCGGCTGGGCTGAGAGAGAAGGTTTCTCATATAGACCTGGAAGGAGAAGAGGCATTTTCCTTACGGAGGATCTTCCTTGTCACAGCTCCCTTCACCTGAGCTGAGAACTCACTCCCCTGCTCTATGACCTAATGCTCTCTCTCTCTCTCTCTCTCACCCTCCACCCCATCTCTCTTCATGTCTATTTCCTCCTTCCACCTTCTCTGTCTCTCTAGGTCTCTGACCTCGCTTCCACACCTCTAGATATGTTTTCCCTTTTTGGATTGTTTTATTCTCTCTGACTCTCCTTGGATTGGTTGACTTGATGTTACTTTTTTAAATTCTAAGTTTCTCACTTTGTGTCCTGTTCATAACTTTCTGCATATTTCTATCTATTATCTATCGATCTATCTATTTATCTATTCGGTGCCTATCTACAAATTCTCTACCTGTCATCTATATCTATATATCATCTATGTATCTATCACTTGTCTATCTATCCATCAATCATCTGTTATCTATATCTATGTATCATCTCTCTCTCTATGACTTCTGTCTGCCTCTCTATCTCTATGTATTATCTATCTGTCTTCATCATCATCATCTCTATGTCTCATCTATTAATGAATCAATCAATCATCATCTATGTATCTTTAACCTATTATCTATCATCTACCTATTTATCATCTATCTATATCTATCCATCTATCATCTGTCTTGCTCTGCCTCTCGGTCTCTCTAGTTCTCTTTGGAATCTCTGCAATTCATCCCCACATCTCCATCTTTCTATGTCCTTGTGCCTCTCCCTCAGGAGTCTAATTTTAGTGCTTTTCTCTGCTCCCTTCCATCATTCTCACCACTCCTCTGCCCTCTTTTCTCTCTCTTTATGTGTCTGTGAGTCTCTCAATCTCCTTCCTCTGGCTCATTCTCTGTGTGTTTATGTCTTTGCTTTTTGGTGTCCCTGATTTCTCTCTGTGCCTCTCAGTGATCCTTTCATATGTGGGGTTATTTGGAATGTGAGCCTCAGAATCCAGTCTGGAGACCACAAGTTCACACAGCATACAGGAGTTGGTGTTCTGGGGCCATGATATCCTGGGACGGTTACTCTCCATTACATGGAAGGCAGAGGTGTCAGAATAAACACGGCATCTGTAGGTGCCACAAGGCCTGAGGCCACAGGGCCCAACTCAGGTCAGAAATATGGGTGTCCTTGGGTTCTCCTGGTAGAGAACACTTTGTGGAGGTAAAACAGAAATGAAACTTCTAACCTGTGCCAGGTCTCTGAGCAAAGTCAGCATGGAGGGACACCTCTCTCTGGGACATGTCTGTCTGTCTGTCTCCTTTAACTCCTTCTGTCTTTTCTAACTCCCGGTATGGCCCCTGTGTCTGTCCTCTGTTATGACACCTGGTCTGTACTTGTGTCTCCTGTTTCTCTGTCTCTGTTGGTACAGACCTCACCAAGTCAGTCTCTCTCCATAAGAATACCAAGCTCATCTTCCTTACAACTACCTGGGGGTTCCAAGTCGTGGATCATTCACTCTGCATCCCAATGACAATGAGAAGAATGTCCGGACACTCTCACCTGTGATGACGATGTCCAGAGGGTCACTGGGAGCTGACAACTGATGGGGGAGTGAGTAACAGAACCGTAGCATCTGTAGGTCCCTGCCAGGTCTTCCATCATGGGACCGATGGAGAAGTTGGCCTTGGAAACCCCATCATGGTGCTCTCCAGTGAGGTGCAAAGTGTCGTTAAACTTCCCTTCTCTGTGCAGAAGGAAGTGCTGAAACCTGACATCTGACCAACATTGCAGGATGACTGTCTCTTCTGATTTCACCAGGGGACCTGGGTGGGCCAGGAGGGAAGGTTTTCTGTGGACTCCTAGGAAGAGAGGTTGTGAGTTTAGAAGGTGTCTCTCTTTATCATCCCATCCATGGCACCTAGAATGAGTGAGGCTTCCCCTTGCTGGTGTCTGTCTCTCTCCTTCCTCTCTGTGTCTTCATGTTCTTTTCTGTGCCCATAACTCCTGGTGCAGGTCCTTCCATCTGTCTCCCTCCCTCTTCTCTGTCCCTCTGTCTCTAGTCGCCTCTGATTCCCTTCCCACTGGGCTTAGCCTCATCTCTTGGGGTGTTGTATCTATTTCACACTAATGTCTTTCCTGCTGTTTATGTGGGGGTGAAAGAGGAACCAGGATAGGCTGCACATCCAGCCTCTTATCAGCCTGGTTCAATCTCTTTTGGATGAATTGGAATCCTTGGCAGTAGGTATGAACTGATGAATAAGGCAGGCACCAGTGTCCACACACCCTGTTCCTGGTCGGGACTGGGAGCCACTCTTGCCATGCCTGTGCCTTCTCCATGGTGCCAGCTTCCATAGGCTGGCTCCTGGTGCTGGTTTGAGGAGTATCAACCCCTCCCTATGTGGATGGAGCCTGGTGGTGGCATCATCATCCCACACTTGCTCATCTCGGTGTAGCCAACCTTCCCCTTGTTTGGTTCCTTTAATTAATTAATTAATTATGGAGACAGAGTCTCACTCCTTCACCCCAGCTGGAGTGAAGTGGTGTGGTCTAGGGTCACTGCAACCTCTGTCTCCTGGGTTCAAGTGATTCTCCTGCCCTCAGCCTCCCAAGTCGCTAGGATTACATGCGCCTGCCACCACACCCGGCTATCCTTGTGTTGTTTCTTACCTTGTCCTTGACCTGGGTTCCAGTGTTGGTTTCCTGTTGCTGCTGTAGAAAATTATCAGAAGCATGGCAGCAGGAGAGAGCACACTGACCCATTTCACTACTGGAGACAGAAATAGGACCCTGTTTTTCCTGGGCTAAAATCAAGGCATCTGCAGGGCTTCGTTCCCTCTGGAGACTCTGGAGAATCATTTCCTTGACTTTTCCAACCTCTACAGGCCACCTGCATTCATGGCTCCTGGCCTTCCTCCACCTTCAAAGCTGGTGGAGTCTCCCATTGCGCTGCTCTAATCCCCACTCCCCTCTTCCTCCTCCTTTCATGTGGACCCTTGTGATTACACTGAGCCCAGCGGGACAGTCCAGGCTGTCTCCCCATCTCAAGGTCAACTCATCAACAACCTGAGCTCCATCTTCCCCTTCAGTTCCTTCCCCTATAACATAAATAGTCACAGACTCCAGGGATTAGAATGTAGTCATCACTGGGGACAATTATTCTTCCCACCACAGCACCCATTTCCCTGTATTCAATCCCCCTTTACCCCAAATATAGTCAGGGCCTGGGTGATGGGACCCTCAAGGACACGCCCACCAGAAGCTCTGGGATTCAGGAGGTGGGAAAGGAGAATCCAAGACAGGAGCCCTCTGACCTGTGGCCATGATCACCAGGGTGTTGCTGGGTGCCGACCACCCACTGGGGTAGTGTGGGTGTGAACCCCGACATCTGTACGTCCCTGTGTGTGCTGGGGTCACAGGGCCCATGAAAAGGCTCTTCCAGAATATTCTGTTGTAGAGCTCAGTGCCAGGCACCCCATCTTCCTTTTACAGACTGAAGTTGTTAAACCCAAGATAAGAATGACACCGAAGAATCACATGTCCTGGAGGCACCACAGAGCTGGGCCAGGCAGACAGCAAGGGCTTGTCCTGACCACCTTGGGGAGAAGGAGGCACCGCCTTAGAGAGGAGGATGTGGAGCCACCCCTCCCTCCCTGTGCTCTGAAGATTCTCCTCGCTTTCCAAGTTTCTATGGCTGCTATCACACCTTGGTGCCCAGGGCTAAAGGAAGGACCCATCCCGCAAACACAAGGTGTCTCCCTACAACAAAAGTGTCAGCTGAGAACTTTGAGCAAGTGCTGAGTAAGAGACTCCTACTAGATTTTAATACTGTAAGATTACTCACATAAAACAACACAGGGTAGACATGGGGTGGAGGGCATGTCTTTGAGAATGGAATATCAGCAGATGCCTGAATGAAAATAAGCAACTGAGCCCCCATCAGAGGATTTGGAATGTCAGGGCCATGGCTGTGGTTTCCCACCTCTTCTGGTGGAGTGACAGCAGCCACACTGCAGCCCCTACCGTCATGGAAACGCTGAAGTGTGAGTAACACCTTTGTCCTCAGAGGATCTGCTGTTCCTACCACTTCCCCACCACGCACCCCAGCTTTGAGCACCCCAGTCTAACCCTGGTCCCCACAGAACTTGACTCTGCCAAGGGAATGAAAGGCCAGGGAGGCGAGGTCGGAACTGTGGGCCGAGCACCCCAGGGTCCCCTCTTCCTAGTTTATGAGAGGCTCCCTGACAGGACTTCCCTCCTGTTTCAGGAAAATCCTCTTATGTGGGGAGATGACACCCTAAGGTTTGGAGAAGGACTCACCCTCATGTGGCCAGGCCCCCTGCAGCAAGAAGAACCCTGGAAAGAAAGATCATGATGGACGATCCATCTGCAGGCAAACCAGCCCTCCCTTGCTGCCCTCACTGGGCTGTGAGTCTTGGTAGGCAGGCCCTTCCTGGACTGAAGTTAAACTCACCCTCAGTGCCTACCTGCACCCAAGAACAGGGCTGTCGGCTGTGCAGAGACCCAGCCTCCAAGCCCAGATCCCCACCACAAGCCCATATCCCCACCACAAGCCCATATCTCCACTCCAGGCCAATATTTCCACCCTAGGCCTGTATCTCCACTCCAGGCCCATATCTCCACTCCAGGCCGATATTTCCATCATAGGCCCATATCGCCAATCCAGGCCCATATCGCCAATCCAGGCCAAGATCTCCACTGTAAGCCCATATCTCCAATCCAGGCCCATATCTCCACTCCAGGCTCAGATCTCCAACCTAGGCCCATATCTCCAATCCAGGCCCATATCTCCACACCAGGCCCATATCTCTACTGAAGGCCAGTAACTCCACCTCCAGGCCCATATCTCCACTCCAGGCCCAGATCTCCACCCCAAGCCCATATCTCCACCCCAGGCCCATATCTCTACTGAAGGCCCGTAACTCCACCTCCAGGCCCATATCTCCACCCCAGGCCCAGATCTCCACCCCAAGCCCATATCTCCACTCTAGGCCCATATCTCCTCTCCAGTCCCATATCTCCACAACCAGGCCCATATCTCCATCCTAGGCCCATATTTCCACTCTAGGCCCAGATATCCACCTCTAGGCCCATATCTCCACTCCTGGCCCAAATCTCCACTCCAGGCCCATATCTCTACTATAGGCCTATAACTCCACCTCCAGGCCCATATCTCCACTCCAGGCTCCTATCTCCCCTCCAGGTTCCTATCGGCACTCCAGGCCCAGATCTCCACTTCTAGGCCCATCACTCCATCTCTAGGCCCATATATCCACTCCAGGCCCAGATCTCCACTCCAGGCCCACAACTCCACCTCCAGGCCTATATCTCCACCTCTGGGCCCAGATCTCCAACCCCACACTCCCTTCCTCTATTCCCTTCCAGGACTCACCAACACACGCCATGCTGACGACCGTGAGCGACATGGTGCTGCCGGTGCAGACAGGCGGCCGTGCCCCAGCTCAGCTCAGCAGCGCACAGGATGTTATTTGGCGCCCTGCCCATGCAGTTTACATGTTGACCACATCATGGGAGGGTGACGTACGCAGGCTCATTCTACCTTGCATGAGGCCCAGTGGGTGCTCGCTCAAGAGCGGAACACGGCTTCCTGGAAATTGTTCTCACTAGAATTTACACCTAGCGTCCTTCACTATGACCAACTCAAAACACGTCTCAGATCCAACCTCCTGAACACGAGATGCCTAAAATCTGTGCTAACGTGAAAGACTTTTCATGTATTTTTATTGTTTTTATCTGAGATTCAAACTCTTCTTCATGTGTAATATGCAAAATATTTAATAGGTATTATTAAGGTTTTCAGAGTCATTGTGACTAATAAACCATTAGAATTTTTCATGCTTGTATTTCTAGTATTACAGCAGAACCAGTTAAAATGATTTAAATTCCCAGGGAAGGATTATGCAATTATTTACAATCTTAGAATTGTACTTTATCAGCAAAAACCACACCTGTAAATTCTGGAGTTTTGTAGTTTAATCTAAAATTTGTCTCATGACCCAAGATTCCAGAGTCCCAACTCTGGAGTTTGATCTCTCTCTGTCTCTCTGCCTCCCTCATTTTAAATTTTACAGAAATATCCAGTAACATAATGCTATAGAAAATCAAGTTTCCCCAGCACGTCGGGAAGCCGAGGTGGGCGGATCAACTGAGATGAGGGGATTGAGAGCAGCCTGGCCAACATAGTGAAACCGTGTCTCTGCTAAAAATCCAAAAATTAGCCATGCCTGGTGGCAGGCACCTGTAACGCCAGCTACTCAAGAGGCTGAGGCACGAGAATCGCTTGAACCTGGGAGGCGGAGGTTGCAGTGAGCTGAGATTGTGTCACTGCAGTCCAGCCTGGGCGACAGAGCAAGACTCCGCCTCAAGAAAAAAAAAAGCAAATAGCCTATAATAACAAATTAGAGGGCTCTGGCTACTAAATTTAAAGGGTTCTATAAGGCTACATAAAGTGTAGCATCATCAAGTGTGTGGACACAGACAGCCCCTTAGCAGAAACTGTCTAAAATACATCCATGTACACACAGTCCCTTTAGAGTTGACAAAGGCTGCCGTGTGGTTTAAGGTGGCATAGAATGTCTTCTCAATAAATAATATTAAACCAATGGGTTACACCTAGTAAAAAATAAATCTAACTCACACTATAAAAACACTTCTTAGTTTTTATCTAGTTGTACATTTTTTTGATTTATATTTAAATTTGAGAAATAAAAGTCATATACGGTCATCCTTCACTATTCGTGGGTGATTGGTTTCGAGATCTCCACTCAGATACCAAAATCTGTAGATGCTCAAGCCTCTTATATGAAATGGCACAGCGCTTGCAAATAACATATGCACATCCTCCTGTATACATGAAATCATCTCTTGATTACTTATAATTCCTGATACAGCCTACACACAGCTTCATTTGTGTCCATTCAACATAGTTATGAGTTTTGGAACTCTGTGGATATTTTCTCTGAATATTTTTGATTTATACTTTGTTCAATAAAGACCTGTAAACCCCACAGATACGGAGGAGTGACCGTATATTTATAGTATGAAAGATGATGTGTTGATATGTGTCCCCATGGAGATGAGACTAACAAGGCCTATGACTCTACAAATGTTTCATCGTGGAATGACTCTGCCAGCTTTCCAGGTCTGCAGAGAGTAACAATGTCACTTGTTCATGTGATTCCCGATCCTTGGAACCTCCTATGTGCTGCATCTTTGGATGGAAATTGGAGTCCCAGAGACAAATGAGGCTCCACACTGCTTCCAGAAGCTCAGAGTCCAGAGGTGAGAACCCGGTGGAGAACAGATGGGATTATATGGACATGGTACTGATAACACCGGAAGCCTTAGGCAAGAAAAGAGTCCCATTACCTAAACCATGAGGGCAGACATGTTTATTTGAAGGAGGGAAAACTACATTGAAATTATTTTAAAAAATATATAAGTTTTACTGCTGACAGAAGGCTGAAAGCTAGTCTGAGGGGAGGTGGAACAGCATGAGGGAAGGTGGAACAGCACGTGTCTAAGTGCCGTGTTAAGAGGGAGCCTCTTGTATGTTTGGAATTGTGAGTTCCTCAGTGTGATTGCAGCCTCAAGTAGACTAGGAAGTAAGCCAGTTAGGTTGGAGAGGTGGGCAGGGGTCAAGTGAAATGGAGAATTGTGGGCTAAGCAAAGGAGTGTGTTTTCTCTCCAGCAGGCAGTGGGGACCTTAGACATTTGTAAGCAAGGGAGAGGCACGTTCAGATTTGTGGTGTGAGGAAGAGCGATGCCCTAAGATGCAGACTCACGCCTTCAGATTCCAGCTGCTGGTACATTGGAGCTGGCAACCCAGTTTTGAGACAGGGCTGTTGTCTCCCTAGAAGATCCCCTCAAGGCCTGACTGTGGTGCTCATGGGCAGGAGACAACTTTGGATCAGGGCTCAGCATTTGGAAGTTCCGTGTACACGATGATATCTGTTGGGGGTGTCTTGGGCCTCTGAGAAGGGCGAGTGATTTTTCTCTGTGTGAAAACGCAGTGATTCAACTGTGCATATGTCACCTCCTGAGGGTCTTGTTCATCAGAGTCCTGGAGAGAGGGAAATGCTGAGTGAGGGAGGGTGCTCACATTTTCCAGGACTCTTTGGGAATAACACTAGCCACGAGGCTGGGCCGAGGAGCACCTACCTCCCTGTTCACTGTTCTGTTCCCTGCAGGCTCTTGGTCCATTACAACAGCATCTGTAGAAGACGGAAGTCAACAAAACAGCTCAGAGGGCACTTCTGGGCCCTCATTTCATAAGCAGATACCAACATACAGGGGGAGACCATAGGAGCCTGAGGTCCCTCAGTTGCCAACAGCAGACTCAGACATTCTATCTCTCTGAGCTCAAGGACCCATCCCATGAATAGCTCTGAGTTCCCATCCCATTGATTCTGTCTCCCACTTTCTGCCTGTCATGGAACCTTCTCCTGGATGTGAGTGGCTGCAGGGGACATGAGGATACAGTTCAGAATCAGGCAATGGTCTGTGAGCTGAAGGCAGGGACAGGGAGTCTGGTGCTCTCTCTAGAAAGTCCTCCCTCTGTGGCTGCTGCCTTGGGCCAGGGACCATCCTGTCTGTGAGGAACACACACCTGAGTGCTCCCATCCTGCTTCCCCACATGGCCCTGAGCTCTCTGGCCTCTGCTTCGTGAGACTTACTTTTTTTGTTGCAGCACCAGCGATGAAGGAGAAAGAAGAGGAGGAGGATGAAGAGGATGATGACCACTGAGGTCCCAATCAGAACATGCAGGTGTCTGGGGTTACCTGGAAGAAGAGGAGACACCAATAAGAAGCTAATCATAGCAGTTCCTCTTTATGAATTGTCTCACATTTCTTGATTGACAGGTAACCACATACAACACCCCTTTAGGACAAGCACCCAGATGGAGGGAGACCCAGCTTTCTCCTGCTTTCTCAGTTATAGCTCTCATAGTAACCATAGAACGTGTTGAGGATACAACTACTTTAGTTGAGATGTTTGACCCCTTCAAACCTCACATTGAAATTTCACCCCCCACTGTGGGAGGTTGGGCCTCTTGAGAGGTGTTTGGGTCATGGAGGTGGATCCATCATGAACAGACCAATGCTGTCCCAAGGAGACGGGGTTAGCAAGTTCCCCTTCTATTAGTTCCTGGAGAGCTGGTTGTTCAAAAGAGCTTGGAAGCTCCATCGCTCCCCCTCCCCCTTGCTCCCTCTCTTGCCGTGTGATCTCTGTGGTCTCTGCACAGACAGACCCTCCTTCCCTTCTGCCAGAGTGGGAGCAGCCTGAGGCCGTCACGAGAAATAGATGCTGGTGCCACGCTTCCAGTACAGCCTGCAGAACTGTGAGGCAAACCAATCTCTTTTCTCTAGAAGTTACCCAGGCTCAAGTGTTCCTTTAGAGCAACAAAAATGGACTAAGACAGCAACGTCCTGAGATCAGGAGGAACGTCTCAGAACAGCCTGGGCTGTCTTCCTGTTCTTCCTGGAGGAGGACGTCATGCAGTGCTTTAGCTGAGTGCTTCCTGTGGCTCCACAGTACAAAACCCAGGCTGGGCTGCTCTCTGGCTTCCCCCAGCTACACTGCAAATGGGGTGACTCCATATGTCCCGAGTAGCTTTTCTGAGCCTTGAGGGACTGGCTCACATTGAAATGTAGGTTTCTGTTGTCACTCGCTGCTTATCTGTTAGTAATGAACCTGCCTGTGTAATGTATTCTCTGTGTGTTCTGTCTCCCTGGAGTGACGGTGAGTGATAGGAATTGGCATAAGCCCAGGTGCAGTCCAGGAGGTATTTAGAGTCTTCTCTGGGAAGACTGCACTGGGATTGATACACAGCGAATGTGCTTTAGGATTTCTACATCCACAGCATTCTTGAATCAAACAACTTGCATTCTCCAAGAAAAGGAAACAAAAGTGAAATCAAGATAAAAAAAGCTAAGTAGAATTCTCTTATGTCAAATGGCCAGGAAATAGTGTTGAAGCCCGTGTGAAACGTGCTACTCTTTGTGATCTCGGGAGACACATGTTAGGCTGCTGTTCTACCCGAGAGGCTGGGGGAAGGACCACCCCCTCGGCCATCTATTGCTTCAATACCACCTGTCCTCCTGTGAATTAGTAGGAAAGGGGAGCAGGAGCTAGTGCTGGCACTGATCTCTGATTCCAAGATCTGGACTCACTCCAAGGAGTATCAATGTTTACCTCCCCATAGCCTATCTGAATCTCCACAGGTGATTGGAAGTAGGGGTGAGGTGGGGGATTTGGGTGAGTGGGCAAGTTTTTTGTTGCGATGAACAGAGCACTTTCTCTATTCCACGATCTGTGCTGGAGGATTCTGAGGGCTTTCACATTTTCTATGTGATCTCATTCTCACAGAAAGCCAAATAGGGAAGAGGTTTTAAGCTCATTGCCTAATGGATAAGATAAAGGATCAAAGAAGTAATTATAGAGAAATAGAAAAACGATGATTGGAATTCAGGTGCCTTTGTCATTCGTGTGTGTTTTATTATATTTATGTATTTCTTATTTTTATTTTTTGAGATAGAGTCTCCTTGTGTCCCCCAGGCTGGAGTGCAGTGATGCAATCTCCACTCACTGCAACCTCCACCTACTGGGTTGAAGTCATTCTCCTGCTTCATCCTCCAGAATAGGAGCTGGGATTACAGGGATGCACCATCGTGCTCGGCTAATTTTTGTATTTTTAGTAGAGATAGGGTTTCACCACGTTGGCCAGGCTGGTCTGGAACTCCTGACTTCATGGAATCCACCCACCTTGGCCTCCTGCAGTGCTAGGTTACAGGCGTGAGCCACTGTTCACAGACTTGTATATTATGCTATAATAAGTCTCTTCATTTCCACCACCACTCATATATCTGTCACTCCTTTGCCAGGTATTGATTTATGTGTAGGATGAATAAATCTCAGAAAGAAATTAATTAAGCGAGGATTAAACAAGTAGGAAAATCAAACCCAGTAAGCGTTTCCAGTCAATGATTCTACCTCACAAACATATCTTATATCCATCTACTTCATTCATTTAGTGTCTAAATCAGCACCACATTTCACCAGTGGGGTGGCAATTGCCTTTTCCACGGTCTCCTAGATTCCAGTTATGCAACTGAGCCTCCCTTATTTTCATGTCAGTCATATTAATCATGTAGGGATTCCTGGTTACCCCGAGGTGAATCCAATGGCTGTGAGTGTCAAACACACACTCCTTGTTGCTCCTTAGTTTCCTGTGTACCCAGTGTGCTCTCCGTCTCTCTACAGTCGTCTTGTCATTCTCCCCACATCATTCCCAGCATTTGAGGCAGAGCCTCTTCCTTCCACATCAGATTGTTTTCACCTTTGTGCCTTCACGGCTGACAGCTGTGTGTGCAAAATCCTTCCGCCAATCTTTCAGGGGTTCAATCCGTGTTTTTCATTAATGTCACAAATATCTGAATAGTGAGACCTTCTTTGTCACCTGAAATCATACACTCAGCATTATCTATTATTGATTTTGAATTCTGGCTGGGCACAGTGGCTCACGCCTGTAGTCCCATTACTTTGGCATGCTGAGACGGTCGGATCACTTGAGGTTGGGAGTTTCAGACAAGCTTGGCCAACGTGGTGAAACATCCTCTCTACAAAAAATATACAAAAAGAATTAGCCGGGCACGGTGGCAGTTGCCTGTAATCCCAGCTACTCGAGAGGCGGAGGCAGGAGAATCACTTGAATCCAGGAGACGCAGGTTGCAGTGAGCCAAGATCGTGACACTGCACTGTAGCCTGGAAGACAGAGGGCGACTCTGTCTCAATAAACAAAAGAACAAACAAAAAATAGATTTCATGCACAGATGCTTCCCAATGGATCATTCATTTATAGATCCACTTGTGCATTCATTTTCTGCCCTCCCATTTAACCATCTGCAATATCAGTGTCCCAAGGGCAGAAGCCAAATGCATCTTGTTCACCGTTTGTGGAAGGCAGGAGAATGCTGTCCCACCCCAAAATGTCCCTGTCCTAGCCTCCATAGCTTGTGAATATGTTATTTTACATGGAAAGGAGGAATGAAGATTGTAGATGGAATTGCGGTTGCTAATCAGCTGAACTTAAAACAAGGGTATCCTGGATGATTTCCAGGAGATTATGAGGGATTTTCATCTTGGTGAACCCAATAGAATCCCCAAGTTTTCAAAAGATAAGGAAGAAGGGAGAGCAGCATTCAGAGAAAGAGGTGTGGTAAGGAAGAAGGCACTGAGTGATGCCATGTGAGATGTGACCAGTCTTTGTGGGCTTTGAGGAAGGAGGAAGGGGAACAGGAGCCAAGGAACTGGGAGCCTTTAGAAGCTGGGATAAGTGAGAAGCAGATTCTTGCCTGGAATCCTCAGAGGGAAGGCAGCCTTGCTGTCACCTTGATTTTAGCCCAGTAAGATGCACTTCCTACTTTGAGCTACAGCACTGTAAGATAATTAAAAAACCGTTTTGTTTTCACCCACGAATCTTGTGGAAATTTGTTATGGCAACAATAGGAAAAGGTTCCGCACTGCACAGCCTGAGCATGGGGCCGTGGCTGAATGAGTCAGTGAGTCGAAGTGTGCGTGCATGAGCTCCGTTCTCTGTTACGGCAAGGCTGTTGCTCTGCTGAGTCAGCCAGGGTTGCTTCATGACCAACAGTAATTCATTCCTTGGCAAGTGGAACTTCTCTAAAACACCTCGCCCTCATCAGATGTTCCCTTCCCTTCCCTCTCTCAAGCCCCCAGGAATTTATCCTCCAGTTAGGAATGCAGGCAGAACAAACATTGCATTTTTCCTGAGAAGGATGTCAGATTGGCAATCATTCTTCTAGCTTGTAGGAGGTCTCAGCTCCATAAAATGAGAGATTAAGAGATTTCACTGAGCCCTAGGTTGGGCCCAGATCCCTTTCGCTGTTGGAGTATCTGGAGTTCGGAGATGGTAGAAGACAGGCGTACAATGTCAGAGCTGCGAGATGCTGAGTCAATGCCTGCATCGAAGGTTTCTACCTCCCCAGGTTTCCAAAAGCGGATATAAGAGGGTTCTGTACTCACCGGTTTCGGAGCTTGGTTCAGTGGGTGAAGGCCAACTATTTGAAGGGTTTCCTAGAACACGAGACAGGAGAGAGGTGAGGAAATGAGGGTGTCTGTCCTCTACTCAATGGAAATCTTTGAGGTTGGTTCATGGCCAACACTCTGTTATCTAATATTGGGCCCTGGGAGTCCTGGGATCCTTTTTTCCGTAATTTTTGTATGTGACGCCCACTGTCTTGAGACTTCAAGATATAAAGAGAAAACAGGAGCATCACACTACCTGATCTCAAAATATGTTACAGAGCTGTAGTAAGCAAAACAGCATCACATTGGCATAAAGAAAGGCACGTAGAACAATGGAGCAGAATGAAGAACACAGATATAATCCATGCATTTACCTCCAATGTTTTTTTCTTTTTTCTTTTGAGATGGAGTCTCGCTCTGTCACCCAGGCTGGAGTGCAGAGGTGCAATCTCGGTTCACTGCCACCACAGCCTCCTGGGTTCAATCAATTCTCTGGCCTCAAACTCCTGAGTAGTGGTATTACAGGTGCTGACCACCATGCTCAGCTAATTTTTATATTTTTAGTGGAGACAATGTTTCATCACGTCGGCCAGACTAATCTTGAACTCCTGGCCTCAGGTGATCCACCCGCCTTGGGCTCCCAAAGTGCTGAAATTGCAGGTGTCAGCCACCATGCCCAGCCCATCCAATGGACTTTGACAAAGGTGCCAAGAACTCACAATCAGGAAAGGACAGTCTTTTCAATAAACAGTGCAGGGAAACCTGGACATCTACATGCAGAGGAATGAAACTGCACCTCTACCTGTCACTATACACAAAACTCAAATGAAAATGGATTAAAGATGTGAGTCTAAGGCCTGAACCTATGAAACACGTAGAAGAAAATATTGGGGAAATGCTCCAGGACATTTGTCTGAAGGAAGACATTTTGTTTTAAACCTTCAAAACACAAGTAATCGAAGCAAAAATAGACCATTGGGATTACCTCAAACTAAGCAACTTCTGCACCGCTAAAAATAAACCAACAAAGTGAAGAGACAACCCACAGATTGGGAGCAAATATGTGCAAACTATGCATCTGAGATGGGATTAATAACTAGAAATATAAGAAGCTCAAACAACTCAATAAAACAAACGATTTAATTGAAAAAGGAGCAAAACACATGAAATTTCCCCACATACTAAAAAGTGCTCAGTTTCACTCATCATCAGAGAAACACAAATTAAAATCAAAGTGAGTTTTCATCTCACCCCATTAAAATGGATTTTAGGCCGGGCGTGGTGGCTCACGTCTGTCATCCTAGACCTTTGAGAGCCTGAGGTGGGTGAACCTCATAAGGTCGGGAGTTTGAGACCAGTCTGACCCACATGAAGAAACACTGTCTCTACTAAAAATACAAAATTTAGTTGGGCGTGGTGGCGTGTGCCTGTAATTCCAGCTACTCGGGAGGCTGAGGCAGGAGAATCGCTTGAACCTGGGAGGTGGAGGTTGTGGTGAGCCGAGATCGCACCACTGCACTCCAGCCTGGGTGACAAGAGCGAAACTCCATCTCAAAATAAAATGAAATAAAATAAAATGGCTTTTAGCTGCAAGACAGGCAAAGGAAATCCTGCCAAAGTGGTAGAGAAAGGAGAACCCTAATACCCTGTTGGTAGGAGTGTAAATTAGTACAGCCTTTACGGAGAAAAGTGTGGAAGTCCTTTAAAGAACTAAAAAGAGGTTGGGTGAGGTGGATCATGCCTGTAATCCCGGCACTTTGGGAGACCGAGGCGGGCACCTCAGTTGAGGTCATGAGTTTGAGAGCAGCCCAGCCAACATGGGGAAACCCCATCTATACTAAAAAAAACAAAAAGTAGCCAGGCATGGTGGCGTGCACCTGTAATCCCAGCTACTAGGGAGGCTGAGGCAGGAAAATCATTTGAACCCAGGAGGCGGAGGTTGCAATGAGCCAAGATGACTTCACTTGTACTCCAGCCTGGGCACAGAGGGAAACTGTCTCAAAAACAAAAACAAAACAACAAACGAATAACTAAAAAGAGAACTTTCATAGTATCCAGCAATTTCACTACTGGGTTTATATCCAAAGGAAAGTAAATCAATATATCGAAGTGATATCTGCACTCGTATGATTGGTGCAGCACTGTTCACAGTAGCCAAGATGTGGAGTCAACCTACCTGCCCATCAGTGGATGAATGGATAGAGAGAATGTAGTACATACGCACAGTGGAGACTACTCATCCATAGAAAGAATAACATCCTGATATTTGCAGCCACATGGATGGAACTGGAAGTCATTACAAAGATTCCCATTTCTCACCCATATACAGAGCTAAAAGGTGGATCTCATGAAGGTAGAGAGTAGAATGGTGGCTTCCAGAGGCCAGGAATAAAAGGGTGGAGGGTAAAAAAAAAAAAAAAAAAAAAAATATATATATATATATATATATATATATATATGTTTATATATGTGTGTGTGTGTGTATATATATATATATATATATATATATAAATGTATTTATGACCACTAGACTTTACACTTAAAAATGGTAAATGTGGCTGGGCGTGGTGGCTCATGCCTGTAATCCCAGCACTTTGGGAGGCAGATGCGGGTGGATCACGTGGTCAGGAGTTGGAGACCAGCTCGACCAACATGGTGAAACCCCCTCTCTACTAAAAATACAAAAAGTAGCCTGGCGTGGTGGTGCGCGCCTGTAGCACCAGCTACTCAGGTGGCTGAAGCAGGAGAATCACTTGAACCCAGGAGGCGGAAGTTGCAGTGAGCTGAGATTGTGCCACTGCACTCCAGCATAGGGGACAGAGCTAGACTCTGCCTCAAAAAAAAAAAAAATGTTAAAGGTGGTAAGCTATATAGGTATATTTATCCTCAATAAATATTTCTTCAAACAAAAGTAAAGGGTGTAGGGGTTGCTGGTGATGACATCCCTGTGTGGGTGAGAGGCCAGGATGGGCTTCTGGGAAATGGGTAATGTTGAGGGGCTGAGGGAACCTCTGATCTTCCCAAACTGAGCCCAGTCTCTCTCCTCTGGGTCTCTCCTGACCGTTTTCTCCATCTGCCTGTGTGCCTGGAGCCCTGGCCGCGGGCCTTCATGCAGGCCGTGTAGGAGGGTTTGGAGGTGCCCTGTCTGCCATCCTGTGCCCTGATCCCTCCCTCACACCCAAGCTTCGTCTTCTCTCTGCATCTGTCCATGCTTCTCTCCATCATCAGCAGGAAGCTCCTCAGCTAAGGCTCTAGGATCATAGGACATGAGACAGATATGGGGTTTCCTCACCTGTGACAGAAACAAGCAGTGGGTCACTCGAGTTTGACCACTCGTATGGAGAGTCACGGAAAGAGCCGAAGCATCTGTAGGTTCCTCCGTGGGTGGCAGGGCCCAGAGGAAAGTCGGCCTGGAATGTTCCGTTGACCTTGGGCCCTGCAGAGAACCTACGTTCATGGGCCTCCCCCTCCCTGGATAGATGGTACATGTCATAGGAGCTCCGGGAGCTGCAGGACAAGGTCACGCTCTCTCCTGCCAGAACCGTGGGGCCCGGCTGGGCTGAGAGAGAAGGTTTCTCATATAGACCTGGAGGAGAAGAGGCATTTTCCTTACGGAGGATCTTCCTTGTCACAGCTCCCTTCACCTGAGCTGAGAACTCACTCCCCTGCTCTATGACCTAATGCTCTCTCTCTCTCTCTCTCTCACCCTCCACCCCATCTCTCTTCATGTCTATTTCCTTCTTCCACCTTCTCTGTCTCTCTAGGTCTCTGACCTCGCTTCCCCACCTCTAGATATGTTTTCCCTTTTTGGATTCTTTTATTCTCTCTGACTCTCCTTGGATTGGTTGACTTGATGTTACTTTTTTAAATTCTAAGTTTCTCACGTTGTGTCCTGTTCATAACTTTCTGCATATTTCTATCTATTATCTGTCGATCTATCTATTTATCTATTCGGTGCCTATCTACAAATTCTCTACCTGTCATCTATATCTATATATCATCTATGTATCTATCACTTGTCTATCTATCCATCAATCATCTGTTATTTATATGTATGTATCATCTCTCTCTCTATGATTTCTGTCTGCCTCTCTATCTGTACGTATTATCTGTCTTCATCATCATCATCTCTATGTATTATCTATTAATGAATCAATCAATCATCATCTATGTATCTTTAACCTATTATCTATCATCTACCTATTTATCATCTATCTATATCTATCCATCTATCATCTGTCTTGCTCTGCCTCTCGGTCTCTCTAGTTCTCTTTGGAATCTCTGCAATTCATCCCCACATCTCCATGTTTCTATGTCCTTGTGCCTCTCTCTCAGGACTCTAATTTTAGTGCTTTTCTCTGCTCCCTGCCATCATTCTCACCACTCCTCTGCCCTCTTTTCTCTCTCTTTATGTGTCTGTGAGTCTCTCAATCTCCTTCCTCTGGCTCATTCTCTGTGTGTTTATGTCTTTGCTTTTTGGTGTTCCTGATTTTTCTCTGTGCCTCTCAGTGATCCTTTCATATGTGGGGTTATTTGGAATGTGAGCCACAGAATCCAGTCTGGAGACCACAAGTTCACACAGCATACAGGGGTTGGTGTTCTGGGGCCATGATATCCTGGGACGATTACTCTCCATTACATGGAAGGCAGAGGTGTCAGAATAAACATGGCCTGTAGGTGCCACAAGGCCTGAGGCCACAGGGCCCAACTCAGGTCATAAATATGGGTGTCCTTGGGTTCTCCTGGTAGAGAACACTTTGTGGAGGTAAAACAGAAATGAAACTTCTAACCTGTGCCAGGTCTGTGAGCAAAGTCAGCATGGAGGGACACCTCTCTCTGGGACATGTCTGTCTGTCTGTCTCTTTTAACTCTTTCTGTCTTTTCTAACTCCCTGTATGGCCCCTGTGTCTGTCCTCTGTTATGACACCTGGTCTGTACTTGTGTCTCCTGTTTCTCTGTCTCTGTTGGTACAAACCTCAGCAAGTCAGTCTCTCTCCATAAGAATACCAAGCTCATCTTCCTTACAACTACCTGGGGGTTCCAAGTCGTGGATCATTCACTCTGCATCCCAATGACAATGAGAATGTCCGGACACTCTCACCTGTGATGACGATGTCCAGAGGGTCACTGGGAGCTGACAACTGATAGGGGGAGTGAGTAACAGAACCGTAGCATCTGTAGGTCCCTGCAAGGTCTTGCATCATGGGACCGATGGAGAAGTTGGCCTTGGAGACCCCATCATGGTGCTCTCCAATGAGGTGCAAAGTGTCCTTAAACTTCCCTTCTCTGTGCAGAAGGAAGTGCTGAAACCTGACATCTGACCAACATTGCAGGATGACTGTCTCTTCTGATTTCACCAGGGGACCTGGGTGGGCCAGGAGGGAAGGTTTTCTGTGGACTCCTAGGAAGAGAGGTTGTGAGTTTAGAAGGTGTCTCTCTTTATCATCCCATCCATGGCACCTAGAATGAGTGAGGCTTCCCCTTGCTGGTGTCTGTCTCTCTCCTTCCTCTCTGTGTCTTCATGTTCTTTTCTGTGCCCTTAACTCCTGGTGCAGGTCCTTCCATCTGTCTCCCTCCCTCTTCTCTGTCCCTCTGTCTCTAGTAGCCTCTGATTCCCTTCCCACTGGGCTGAGCCTCATCTCTTGGGGTGTTGTATCTATTTCACACTAATGTATTTCCTGCTGTTTATGTGGGGGTGAAAGAGGAACCAGGATAGGCTGCACATCCAGGCTCTTATCAGCCTGGTTCAATCTCTTTTGGATGAATTGCAATCCTTGGCAGAAGGTATGAACTGATGAATAAGGCAGGCACCAGTGTCCACACACCCTGTTCCTGGTGGGGACTGGGAGCCACTCTTGCCATGCCTGTGCCTTCTCCATGGTGCCAGCTTCCATAGGCTGGCTCCTGGTGCTGGTTGGAGGAGTATCAACCCCTCCCTATGTGGATGGAGCCTGGTGGTGGCATCATCATCCCACCCTTGCTGATCTCAGGGTAGCCAACCTTCTCCTTGTTTGGTTTCTTTAATTAATTAATTAATTATGGAGACAGAGTCTCACTCCTTCACCCAGGCTGGAGTGAAGTGGTGTGGTCTAGGCTCACTGCAACCTCTGTCTCCTGGGTTCAAGTGATTCTCCTGCCCTCAGCCTCCTGAGTCGCTAGGATTACATGCACCTGCCACCATGCCTGGCTTTCCTTGGGTTGTTTCTTAACTTGTCCTTGACCTGGGTTCCAGTGTTGGTTTCCTGTTGCTGCTGTAGAAAATTATCAGAAGCATGGCAGCAGGAGAGACCACACTGACACCTTCCAGTACTGGAGACAGAAATTGGACCCTATTTTTCCTGGGCTAAAATCAAGGCATCTGCAGGGCTTTGTTCCCTCTGGAGACTCTGGAGAATCAGTTCCTTGACTTTTCCAGCCTCTATAGGCCACCTGCATTCATGGATCTTGGCCTTCCTCCACCTTCAAAGCTGGTGAAGACTTCCACTGGACTGCTCTAATCCCCACTCCCCTCTTCCTCCTCCTTTCATGTGCACCCTTGTGATTACACTGAGCCCAGTGGGACAGTCCAGGCTGTCTCCCCATGAGCTCCATCTTCCCCTTCAGTCCCTTCCCCTATAACATAAATAGTCACAGACTCCAGGGATTAGAATGTAGTCATCACTGGGGACAATTATTCTTCCCACCACAGCACCCATTTCCCTGTATTCAATCCCCCTTTACCACAAATACAGTCAGGGCCTGCGTGATGGGACCCTCAAGGACATGCCCAACAGAAGCTCTGGGATTCAGGAGGTGGGACAAGGAGAATCCAAGACAGGAGCCCTCTGACCTATGACCACGATCACCAGGGGGTTGCTGGGTGCTGACCACCCACTGGGGGAGTGTGTGTGTGAACCCCGACATCTGTATGTCCCTGTGTGTGCGGGGGTCACAGGGCCCATGAAAAGGCTGTTCCAGAATATTCTGTTGTAGAGCTCAGGGACAGGCACCCCACCTTCCTTTTACAGACTGAAGTTGTTAAACCCAAGATAAGAGTGACACCGAAGAATGACATGTCCTAGAGGCACCACAAGGCTGGGCCAGGCAGACAGCAAGGGCTTGTCCTGACCACCTTGGGGAGAAGGAGGCGCCGCCTTAGAGAGGAGGATGTGGAACTGCCCTTCCCTCCCTGTGCTCAGAAGATTCTCCTCGCTTTCCACGTTTCTATGGCTACTATCACACCTTGGTGCCCAGGGCTGAAGGAAGGACCCATCCCGCAAAGACATGGTGTCTCCCTACAACAAAAGCCTCAGCTGAGAACTTTGAGCAAGTGCTGAGTAAAGAGACTCCTACTAGATTTTAATACTGTAAGATTACTCACATAAAACAACACAGGGTAGACATGAGGTGGAGGGCATGTCCTTTGTGAATGGATATCAGCGGATGCCTGAACGAAAATAAACAACTGAGCCCCCATCAGAGGATTTGGAATGTCAGGGCCATGGCTGTGGTTTCCCACCTCTTCTGGTAGAATGACAGCAGCCACACTGCAGCCCCTACCATCATGGAAACGCTGAAGTGTGTGAGTAACACCTTTGTCCTCAGAGGATCTGCTGTTCCTACCACTTCCCAACCACACACCCCAGCTTTGAGCACCCCAGTCTAACCCTGGTCCCCACAGAACTTGACTCTGCCAAGGGGTTGAGAGGCCAGGGAGGCGAGGTCAGAAATGTGGGCTGAGCACCCCAGGGTCCTCTCTTCCTAGTTTATGAGAGACTCCCCGACAGGACTTCCCTCCTGTTTCAGGAAAATCCTCTTATGTGGGGAGATGACACCCGAAGGTTTGGAGAAGGACTCACCCTCATGTGGCCAGGCCCCCTGCAGCAAGAAGAACCCTGGAAAGAAAGATCATGATGGACCATCCATCTGCAGGCAAACCAGGCCTCCCTTGCTGCCCCCACTGGGCTGTGAGTCTTGGCAGCCAGGCCCTTCCTGGGCTGAAGTTAAACTCACCCTCAGTGCCTACCTGCACCCAAGAACAGGGCTGTCGGCTGTGCAGAGACCCAGTTTCCAGGCCCATATCCCCACCCCAAGCCCATATCTCCACTCCAGGCTGATATTTCCACCCTAGGCCCATATCGCCAATCCAGGCTCAGATCTCCACCCTAGGCCCCTATCTCCAATCCAGTCCCATATCTCCGCCCCAGGCCCAGATCTCCACCCTAAGCCCATATCTCCACTCCAGGCCCATATCACCTCTCCAGTCCCATATCTCCACACCCAGGCCCATATCTCCTTCCTAGGCCCATATCTCCACTCCAGGCCCAGATATCCATCTCTAGGCCCATAACTCCACTCCTGGCCCATATCTCCACTCCAGGCCCATATCTCTACTGCAGGCCCGTATCTCCACCTCCAGACCCATATCTCCACTCCAGGCCCATATCTCCACCTCCAGGCCCATATCTCCACCTCCAGGCCCATATCTCCACTCCAGGCCCATATCTCCACTCCAGGCCCCTATCTCTACTGCAGGCCCATATCTCCATCTCCAGGCCCATATCTCCATCTCCAGGCCCATGTCTCCACTACAAGCCCATATCTCTACTGCAGGCCCATATCTCAACCTCCAGGCCCATATCTCCACTCCAGGCCCAGATCTCCACTCCAGGCCCAGATCTCCACTTCTAGGCCCATCACTCCATCTCTAGGCCCATAACTCCACTTCCAGGCCTATATCTCCAACTCTGGGCCCCGATCTCCATCCCCGCACTCCCTCCCTCGATGCCCTTCCAGGACTCACCAACACACACCATGCTGACGACCATGAGCGACATGGTGCTGTCTGTGCAGACAGGCGGCCGCGCCCCAGCTCAGCTCAGCAGCGCACAGGATGTTATTTGGCGCCCTGCCCATGCAGTTTACATGTTGACCACATCATGGGAGGGTGACGTACGCAGGCTCTTTCTACCTTGCATGAGGCCCAGTGGGTGCTCGCTCAAGAGCGGAACATGGCTTCCTGGAAATTGTTCTCACTAGAATTGACACCTTGCGTCCTTCACTACGACCAGACTCAAAAGACGTCTCAGATCCAACCTCTCATACACGAGATGATTGAATTCTGTGCTTACATTAAAGATTTTTGATGTATTTTTGTTTTTATCTGAGATTCAAACTCTTCTTCATATGTAATGTGCAAAATGTCTAACAGGTATTATTAACATTATCAGAGTAATTGTGACAAGAAGCCATTCTAATTTTCCTGCTTGAGTTTCTACTACTAAACCAGAGGCATCAGAATAGCTTGAACCTGGGAGACGGAGGTTGCAGTGAGCTGAGCTCAAGCCACTGAACTCCAGCTTGGGTGACAGAGGAAGAGTCTGTCTCAAGAAAAAAAAAAAAAGCAAACTAAATAACCTATAATAACAAATCAGAGGACTCAGGTTACCAAATTTTAAGGGGTTCTATAAGTTTATATAAAATGCAGCATCCTCATGAGAGGGGATACAGAGAACCACTGGACAGAAAACTGTGTCTAAAATACATCTGTGGATACACAGTCCCTTTATAGTTGACAAAGGCTGCCATGTAGTTTAAGGTGGAATAGAATATTTTCTCAACAAATAACACAGGACCATAGGGTTACACGTAGGAAAAAATAAATCTAAACTTATCCTCACACTATAAAAACACTTCTTATTTTTTATCTTGTTGTTGTAAATTTTTTATGCTTTATTTTTAAGATTGACAAATAAAAATTATATACCATGGTCCTTCACTATACCTGGGTGATTGGTTCCAGGATCCCCATTCAGATACCAAAATCTGCAGATGCTCAAGCCCCTTGCATGAAATGGCATAGTGAAGCTGGGCACCGTGGCTCACGCCTGTAATCCCAGCACTTTGGGAGGCTGAGCTGGGTAGATCACAAGGTCAGGAGTTCAAGACCAGCTGGTCCAACATTCTGAAACCCCATCTCTACTAAAAATATACACACAAAAAAATTTATCTGTGCAGGGTGGCACGTGCCTGTAATCCTAGGGGAGGCTACTGGGGAGGCTGAGGGAAGAGAATCGCTTGAACCTGGAAGGCGGAGGTTGCAGTGAGTTGAGATCACGCCACTGCACTCCAGCCTGGGTGAGAGAGTGAGACTGTCTCAAAAAAAAAAAAATAGCATAGCAATTGCATAGAACCCATGCACATCCTCCTGTATACATGAAATCATCTCTTGATTACTTATAATTCCTGACACAGCCTACACGCCACTCAATTTGTGTCGATTCAACATAGTTTTTTGCTTTTTGAAACTTCGGGGATTTTTTTTCTCAAAATATTTTTGATTTATTGCTGATTCAATAAACATGTGTAAACCCCAGAGATATGGAGGAGTGACTGTCTATTTATAGTAGTATGAAAGATGATGTGTTGATACGTGTCCCTGTGGAGATGAGACTAACAAGGCCTATGACTCTACAAATGTTTCATCGTGGAATGACTCTGCCAGCTTTCCAGATCTGCAGAGAGTAAGAATATCACTTGTTCATCTGATTCACCATCCTTGGAACCTCCTATGTGCTGCATCTTTGGATGGAAATTGGAGTCTCAGAGACAATTCAGGCTCCACCCTGCTTCCAGAAGCTCAGAGTCCAGGGGTGAGAACCCAGCGGAGAACAGATGGGGTTATGTGGACGTGGTAATGATAACACCGGAAGCCTTAGGCAAGAAAAGAGTCCCATTGACGAAACCATGAGGGCAGACATGTTTACTTGAAGAAGAGAAAACTACATTGAAATTATAAAAAAAATTTATAAGTTTTACTGCTGACAGAAGGCTGAAAGATACTCTGAGGAAAGGTGGAATAGCACGTATCTAAGTGCCGTGTTAAGAGGGAGCCTCTTATATGTTTGGAATTGTGAGTTCCTCAGTGTGATCGCAGCCTCAAGTAGACTAGGAAGTAAGCCAGTTAGGTTGGAGAGGTGGGCAGGGGTCAAGTGAAATGGAGAATTGTGGGCTAAGCAAGTGTGTTTTCTCTCCAGCAGGCAGTGGGGACCTTAGACATTTGTAAGCAAGAGAGAGGCATGTTCAGATTCGTGGTGTGAGGAAGAGCGATGCCCTAAGATGCAGACTCACGCCTTCAGAGTCCAGCTGCTGGTACATGGGAGCTGGCAACCCGGTTTTGAGACAGGGCTATTGTCTCCCTAGAAGATCCCATCAAGGCCTGACTGTGGTGCTAGTGGACAGAAGACAACTTTGGATCTGCGCTCAGCATTTGGAAGTTCCGTGTTACACGCTGGTATCTGTTGGGGGTGTCTTGGGCCTCTGAGAAGGGCGAGTGATTTTTCTCTGTGTGAAAACGCAGTGATTCAACTGTGCGTATGTCACCTCCTGAGGGTCTTGTTCATCAGAGTCCTGGAGGGAGGGAAATGCTGAGTGAGGGAGGGTGCTCACATTTTCCAGGACTCTTTGGGAATAAGACTAGCCACGAGGCTGGGCGGAGGAGCACCTACCTCCCTGTTCACTGTTCTGTTCCCTGCAGGCTCTTGGTCCATTACAACAGCATCTGTAGAAGACGGAAGTCGTCAAAACAGCTCGGAGGGCACTTCTGGGTCCTCATTTCATAAGCAGATACCAACATACAGGGGGAGGCCATAGGTGCCTGAGGTCCCTCAGTTGCCAACAGCAGACTCAGACATTCTATCTCTCTGAGCTCAAGGATCCATCCCATGTATAGCTCTGAGTTCCCATCCTATTGATTCTGTGTCCCACTTTCTGCCTGTCATGGAACCTTCTCCTGGATGTGAGTGGCTGCAGGGGATGTGAGGATACGGTTCAGAATCAGGCAATGGTCTGTGAGCTGAAGGCAGAGGCAGGGAGTCTGGTGCTCTCTCTAGAAAGTCCTGCCTCTGTGGCTCCTGCCTTGGGCCAGGGACCATCCTGCCTGTGAGGAACACACACCTGAGTGCTCCCATCCTGCTTCCCCACATGGCCCTGAGCTCTCTGGCTTCTGCTTCGTGAGACTTACTCTTTTTGTTGGCACACCAGCGATGAAGGAGAAAGAAGAGGAGGATAGCAAAGGGGATGATGACCACTGAGGTCCCAATCAGAACGTGCAGGTGTCTGGAGTTACCTGGAGGAAGACAAGACACCAATAAGAAGCTAATCATAGCAGTTCCTCTATATGAATTGTCTCACATTTCTTGATTGACAGGTAACCACATACAACGTCTCTTTAGGACAAGCACCCAGATGGCGGGAGACCTAGCTTCCTCCTGCTTTCTCAGTTGTAGTAACCATAGAACGTGCTGAGGATACAACTGCTTTAGTTTAGATGTTTGACCCCTTCAAACCTCACATTGAAATGTAACCCCCAGGGTGGGAGGTTGGGCCTCTTGGGAGTTGTTTGGGTCATGGAGGTGGATCCATCATGAACAGATCAATGCTGTTCCAAGGAGACGGGGTTAGCAAGTTCCCCCTCTATTAGTTCCTGGAGAACTGGTTGTTAAAAGAGCTTGGAAGCTCCATCGCTCCCCCTCCCCCTTGGTCCCTCTCTTGCCGTGTGATCTCTGTGGTCTCTGCACAGACAGACCCTCCTTCCCTTCTGCCAGAGTGGGAGCAGCCTGAGGCCGTCACAAGAAATAGATGCTGGTGCCATGCTTCCAGTACAGCCTGCAGAACTGTGAGGCAAACACATTTCTTTTCTTTAGAAGTTACCCAGGCTCAAGTGTTCCTTTAGAGCAACAAAAATGGACTAAGACAGCAACGTCCTGAGATCAGGAGGAACATCCCAGAACAGCCTGGGCTGTCTTCCTGTTCTTCCTGGAGGAGGACGTCATGCAGTGCTTTAGCTGAGTGCTTCCTGTGGCTCCAGGGTACAAAACCCAGGCTGGGCTGCTTTTTGATTTCCCCCAGATACACTGCATATGGGGTGACTCCACATGTCTCGAGCAGCTTTTCTGAGCCTTGAGGGACTGGCTCACATTGAAATGTAGGTTTCTGTTGTCACTCGCTGCTTATCTGTTAGTAATGAACCTGCCTGTGTAATGTGTTCTCTGTGTGTTCTGTCTCCCTGGAGTGACGGTGAGTGATAGGAATTGGTATAGGCCCAGGTGCATTCCAGGAGGTGTTTAGAATCTTCTCTGGGAAGACTGGATTGGGATTGATACACAGCGAATGTGCTTTACAGTTTCTACCACCACAACCCTCTTGACTCAAAAAAAATTACATTCTCCAAGAAAAGAAAGAAAAAATGAAATCAAGATAAAAAAAGTGAAGTAGAACTGACTTAAATCAAACAGCCATGAAATAATGATGTAGCCCAGGAACAACATGCTACTTTTTGTGATCTGCTGAGACATATATTAGGCTGCTATTCCACCCGAGAAGCACGGGGAAGGACCGCCCTCTCCGTCGTTTATTGTTTCAATACAGCCTGTCCTTCTGTGAGTTAGTACGAAATGTGACCAGGGGCTAGTGCTGGCACTGGTCTCTGAGTCCAAGATCTGAGCTCACTCCAAAGAGTATTAGTGTTTACCTCCCCATGATCTATCTGTATCTCCATAGGTGATTGGAAGTAGAGATGAATTGGGGGATTTGGGTGAAGGGGCAAGTTTTATGCCATGAACAGAGCACGTTCTCTATTCCAGGACCTGTGCTGGTGGGTTCAGGAGGCTTTCACATTTTCCATATGATCCCAAGCTCACAGAAAGCCAAATAAGGAAGAGGTTTAACCTGATTGTTTAATGGATAAGATAAAGGGTCAAAGAATTAAACACAGAGAAATAGAAAAATGATGGTTGGTATCCAGTTGCCTTTGTAATTTCTGTGTGTCATAATTATGTATGTTTTATTTTTATTTTTTGAGACAGAGTCCCCCTGTGTCAGGCTGGAGTGCAGTGATGCGATCTCAGTTCAACCTCTGCCTCCAGGGTTGAAGCCATTCTTCTGCTTCAGCCTCCCCAGTCGCTGGGATTACAGGCAGGTGCCAATGCACCAGGCTAATTTTTGTATTTTTAGTACAGACGGGGTTTCACCATGTTGGCCAGGCTGGTCTCAAACTCCTACCCTTAAGTGATCTACCCGCCTTGGCCTCCCAAAGTGTTGGGTTACAGGTGTGAGCCCCCATCCACAGTCTTGTATATTATATTATACTAGGTCCCTTCATTTGCACCACCCCTCATGTGTCTATCGCTCCTCTGCCAGGTATTGATTTAGATGTAGAAAAAAAACACATCTCAGAAAGAAATTAATGAAACAAGGATTAAACTACTAGGAAAAATCAAACCCAGCAAGCCCTCCCTGCAAATGATTCTACCTCACAAGCATAGCTTATATCCATCTTTCATTCATTTAGTGTGTAAATCAACCCTACGTTTCACCAGTGGGGCGGGAATTGCCTTTTCCACGGTCTCCTAGATTCCAGTTACGCACCTGGGCCTCCCTTATTTTCATGTCGGTCACTGTTAATCAGGTAGGGATTCCTAGTTAGCTCTGAGTTGAATCCAAGGGCTGTGAGTATCAAAAACATGCTCCTTGTTCCTCCTTAGTTTCCTGTGTACCCAGTGTGCTCTCCATCTCTCTACAGTTGTCTTGTCATTCTCCCCATCTCATTCCCAGCATTTGAGGCAGAGCCTCTTCCTTGAACTAAGAATGTTTCCACCTTTGTGCCTTCACGGCTGAGAGCTCAGTGTGGAAAATCCTTCCGCCAATCTTCCAAGGGTTGAATCCATTTTTTCCATTAAGGTCACAAATATTATCTGATCAGTGAGACCTTCTCTGTCACCTGAAATTATATACTCAGCATTATCTATTACTTATTTTAAATCCTGGCTGGGCGCAGTAGCTCTCGCCTGTAATCTTTGCACTTAGGGACGCTAAGGCGGTGGGATCACTTGAGATTGGGAGTTTGAGACAGCCTGCACAACATGGTGAAACCTCATTTCTACTAAAAAATATACCAAAAAAATTAGCCGAGTGTGGTGGCGCACAGCTGTAATCCCAGCTACTCGGTAGGCTGAGGCAGGAGAATTGCATGAACCCAGGAGGCAGAGGTTGCAATGAGCTGAGATTGTGCTACTGCACTCCAGCCTGTGGAACAGAGAGAGACTCTACTCAAAAAAAAAAAAGAAAACAAAAAACACACACACACACAAAAAACCCCAGATTTGGTGCACAGATGCTTCCCAATGGATCATTCATTTATTGGTACCCTTGTGCATTCATTCTCTGCCCTCGCATTTACCCATCTGCAATATCAGCGTCCCAAGAGCAGAGGCCAAATGCATCCTGTTTACCATTTGTGGAAGGCAGGAGAATGCTGCCCCACCCCCAAAATGTCCCTGTCTTAGCCTCCATAGCTTGTGAATATGTTATTTTACAGGAAAGGAGGAATGAAGATTGCAGATGGCATTACGGTTGCTAATCAGCTGAACTTAAAAAGAGGGTACGCTGGATGATTTTAGGGAGATTGAGATGGATTATCTTGGTGACCCCAATAGAATCCCAAAGTCCTTAAAAGATGAGGAAGAAGGCAGAGCAGGATTCAGAGAAAAAGGTATGGGTAAAGAAGAAGAGTCTGAATGATGCCATGTGAGACGTGACCAGCCTTTGTGGGCTTTGAGGAAGGAGGAAGGAGGAAGGGGACCAGGGGCCCAGGAACGTGGGAGCCTCTAGGAGCTGGGAAACGTTAAGGAGCAGATTCTTGCTTGGAACCTTAAAAAGAAATCCAGCCTTACTGTCCCTTTGATATCAGCCCAGTGAAATGCAGTTCATACTTCTGAGTTACAGCACTGTGAGATAATTAAGAAAAACATGTTTTCATCCACGAAGCTTGTGGAAATTTGTTATGGCAACAATAGGAAAAGATTCCACACTGCACAGCCAGAGCATGGGGCATTGGCTGAACGAGTGAGTGAGTGGAAGTGTCGTGTGCATAAATAAGCTAAATTCTCTCTTACTGCACGTCTCTTGCTCTGCTGAGTCAACCAGGGTTGCATCTGGTACACTGCTGATACGAATGCAAATTAGTACAGCCATTACAGAGGAGAAGAGTATGGAAGTTCCTCAAAAAATAAAATGAGGTCGGGCACAGTGGTTCATGCCTGTAATCCCAGCACATTGGGAGGCCGAGGTGGGTAGGTCACTTGAGGTCAGGAGTTGAAGAGCAGCCTGGCCAATATAGCGAAACTCTGTCTCTACTAAAAATATAAAAATTAGCCGAGTGTGGTGGTGGGAGCCAGTAACCCAGCTACTTGGGAGGCTGAGGCTGGGGAATCTCTTGAATCCTGGAGGTGGAGGTTGCAGTGAGCCCAGATGGCACCACTGCACTCCAGCCTGGGCAACAAGAGTGAAACTGTCTAAAAAAAACAAAAACAAAAACAAAAACCATAAAACAAAATGTAAAAAGACACTTCCAGAGGATCTAGCAATTCCATGACTGGGTGTAAACCCAAAGGAAAGGACATCAGCGTATCGAAGTGACATCTGCACTCCCATGACTGTTCCAGCAGTGTTCACAGTAGCCAAGATGTGGATCAACCTACCTGCCCATCAGTGGGTGAATGGATGGAGAGAATGTGGTACACACACACAATAGGGACAACTCATCCATAGAAAGAGTAACATCCTGTCATTTACAGCCACATGAATGGAACTGGAGGTCATTACAAGTATTTCCATTTCTCACTCATATGCAGGAGCTAAAAGGTGGATCTCACAAAGGTAGAGAGTAGAATGGTGGCTACCAGAGGCCAGGAAGGGAAGGGTGGAGGGTAAAAAAAAAAGAATACTAATTAATTAATTAATTAATTTTGAGAGAGTGTCTCTCTCTGTTGCCCAGGCTGCAGTGCAGTGGCATGATCTCAGCTCACTGCAACCTCCGCCTCCTGCAATTAAGTGCAACTCCTGCCCAACCCTCCCAAGTAGCTGGGACTACAGGCATGTGCCACCATGCTCGGCTAATTATTATCATTATTATTATTATTTTGTATTTTTAGTACAGATGGATTTTCCCCATGTTGGCCAGGGTGGTCTTGAGCCCCTGATCTCAAATGATCCACCTGCCTTGGCCTCTCAAAGTGTTGGGATTACAACAGTGAGCCACCGTGCCCAGCCTATAAATGTATTTATGAACAGTAGACTTCACACTTAAAAATGGTAAAGGTGGTAAATTACATAGGTATATTTCACCTCAATAAATATTTCTTCAAACAAAAAGAAAAGGGTGTAGGCGTTGCTGGTGATGACATCTCTCTGTGGGTGACAGGCCAGGATGGGCTTCTGGGAAGTGGGTAAGGTTGAGGGGCTGAGAGAACCTCTGATCTCCCCAGGCAGAGCCCAGTCTCCCTCCTCTGGGTCTGTTCTGACCTCTTTCTCCATCTGCCTGGGTGCCTGGAACCCTGATCAAGGGCCTCCTTGCAGGCCATACAGGAGGGTTTGGAGGTGCCCTGTCTGCCATCCTGCCCCCTGACCCCGCCCTTACACCCATGCTGTGTGTTCTGTCTCGGCATCTGTCCATGCTTCTCTCCATCATCAGCAGGAAGCTCCTCAGCTATGGCTCTAGGATCACAAGACATGGGACAGGCATGGTGTTTTCTCACCTGTGACAGAAACGGGCAGTGGGTCACTCGGGTCTGACCACGCGTGGGGCAGGGCACGGAAAGAGCCGAAGCATCTGTAGTTCCCTCCGTGGGTCACAGGGCCCAGAGGGAAGTTGGCCTGGAATGTTCCATTGACCCTCAGCACCGCAGTGAGCCTAAGTTCACCGGCCTCTGCCTCCCTGGATAGATGGTAAATGTCAAACAAGCTCCGGGAGCTGCAGGACAAGGTCACATTCTCTCCTGCCTGAACCGTGGGGCCCGGCTGGGCTGAGAGAGAAGGTTTCCCATATAGACCTGGAAGGAGAAGAGGTGGTTTCCTCAGGGAGGTTCTTCGTTGTCACAGCTCTCCTCACACCTGAGCTGAGAACTCACTCCCCTGCTCTATGACTTAATGCTCTCTTTCTCTCTCTCACCCTCCACCCCCATCTCTCTTCATGTCTATTTCCTCCTTCCACCTTCTCTGTCTCTCTAGGTCTCTGACCTCACTTCTCCATCCCTAGCTATGTTTTCTTTTTTTGTACCATTTTATTCTCTCTGACCCTCCTTGGACTGGTTGACTTGATCTTCCTCTTTCTTTAATTCTGAGTCTCTCACTTTCTGTCTTGCTCATAACTTTCTGCATATTTCTATCTACTATCTATTGATCGATCTATCATTTATCTATGTATGTATCTATCATCTATCATCATCTGTGTATCTATGACCTATCTCTCTGTTATCTATCATCTATCAATCAATGTATGTATGTATGCATCTATCCATCTATCATCATGTGTTTATCTTTCTATCTCTCTATATCTATTTATATATCATCTGTCTGTCTTTCTACTTGTCTATCTATATCATCTATCAGTCATTCATCATCTATTTGTCTATCACCTGTCTCTCTATTATCTATCATCTACCTTTTATCTTTCATCTATCTATATCTATCTATCCATCTATCATCTGTCTCTCTCCATCTCCTTGTCTTTCTCTGCCTCTCAGTCTCTCTAGTTCCCTTTTGGAGTCTCTGCAATCCATCCCCACATCTTTATCTTTCCCTGTCTTTGTGCCCCTCCCTCAGGGCTCTGATTTTAGGGCTTTTCTCTGCTTCCTTCCATCATACGCTCCACTTCTCTGCCCTCTTTTTCTATCTCTTTATGTGTCTGTGAGTCTCTCAATTCCCTTCTTCTGGCTCATTCTGTGTGTGTGTTCATGTCTTTGCTTTTTGATTTCCCTGATTTCACTCCGTGTCTCTCTGTGGGCTTTTGTTCTCAGTAATCCTATAACATGTGGTGCTATTTGAATATGAGCCTCAGAATCCAGTATGGGGACTCCAGGAACTCACAACATACAGGGGTTGGTGTTCTGCTCCCTCACCTGGGGCCATGGTGTCCTGCGACGACGACAGCTCCACTGCACGGAAGGCAGAGGTTTAAGAATAAACACAGCATCTGTAGGTGCCACCAGCCTGGGGCCACACGGCCCAACTCAGGCCAGATAGATGTGTCTCTTTGGGTTCTCCTGGGAGAGAACACTTTGTAGAGGTAAAACAGAATGGAACCTTCTAACCTGTGCCTGGTCTCTGAACAAAGTCAGCATAGAAGGACACCTCTCTCTGGGATATATCTGTCTCTCTGTGTCTTCTTTACCTCTTTATCTCTTTTTCTAACACCTTGTATGGCCCCTGTGTCTGGCTTCTATGTTATGACATGAGGTCTGTACTTGTGTCTCCTGTTTCTCTGCCTTTGTTGGTACAGACCTCACCAAGTCACTTTCTCTCCATAGGAACCCCACACTCATCTTCCTCATGACCACCTGGGGCTTCCAGTCCTAGATCATTCACTCCATCTCCCAGCAAGGGTGAGAGGCAGGTCTGTATTCTCTCACCTACGACCACGATGTCCAGAGGGTCACTGGGAGCCGACAACTCATAGGGTAAGTGAGTGACAGAACCAAAGCATCTGTAGGTCCCTGCAAGGGCAGGTGTCATGGGACCCATGGAATAGTTGACCTGGGAACCCGCATCGTGGAGCTGTCCAATGAGGCGCAAGGGGTCCTCAGTGATCCCCTCTCTGTGCAGAAGGAAGCGCTCAAACCTGACATCTGACCAACATTGCAGGATGACCGTCTCTCCCGATTTCACCAGGGGACCTGGGTGGGCCAGGAGGGAAGGTTTTCTGTGGACTCCTAAGAAGAGAGGTTGTGAGTTCAGAAGGCGTCTCCCTTTCTCATCCCATTCATGGGACCTGAAATAAGTGAGGCTTCCCCTCCATGGTGTCTATCTCTCTCCTTCCTCTCTGTGTCTCCGTGTTCTTTTGTGCCCATAACCCCTGTTGCAGGTCCCTCCATCTGTCTCCCTCCCTCTTCCCTGTCTCTCTGTCTCTAGTAGCCCTGATTCCCTTCCCACTGTGCTCAGTGTCACCTCTTATGCTGTTGTATCTGTTTCCCACTAATCTCTTTCCTGGTGTTTATGTGGGGGTGGAAGAGGAACCACGACAGGCTGCATGTCCAGGCTCTTAGCAGCCTGAATCAATCTCTTTTGGACAGATTGGAAAGGCTGGCAGGAGGTACGAACTCATCAGTAAGGCAGGCATCAGTGTCCCTGTTCCTGATGGGGATTGGGAGCCTCTCCTGTCATGTCTGTGCCTTCTCCATGGCCCCAGCTTCCATAGGGTGGCCCCTGGTGCTGGTTCCAGGAGCATCAACCCCTCCCTATGTGGATCGAGCCTGGTGGTAGCATCAGTATCCCACCCATGCTAAAATCAGTGTAGCCAACCTTCTCCTTGTTTGGTTTCTTAACTTGTGCTTCACCTGGGTTCCTGTGTTGGTTTCCTGTTGCTGCTGGAGAAAATTGTCACAAACATGGGGCAGGAGAGAATACAATGACCCCTTCCACTTCTGGAGAACAGAAATCGGACCCAGTTCTCTCTGGGCTAAAATCAAGGCATCTACAGGGCTGTGTTTCCTCTGGAGACTCAGGGAAGAATCAGTTCCCTTGACTTCTCCAGCCCTTAGAGGCCAACTGCCTTTGTGGCTCATGGCCTTCCCCCATCTTCAAAGCCCGCTGTGGCTGATGGAGTCTCCCTCCCACGACGTTGCTCTAACCCCACTTTCCTCTTCCTCCTCCTCTCATGAGGACCCTTGTGATTACTCTGAGCACAGCAGGACAGTCCAGGCTGTCTCCCCATCGCAAGGTCAACCCATCAACAACCTGAGCTCCATCTTCCCCTTCAGTCCCCTGCCCTATGACATAAATAGTCACAGGGTTCATGGATTACCATGTAGCCATCACTGGGGACAATTATTCTTCCCACCACAGCAACTATTTCTCTGTACTGAATCCCCCTTTACCCCAAATACAGTCTGGGCCTGGATGATTGGACCCTGATGGACACCCCCACCAGAAGCTCTGGGATTCAGGAGGTGGGACAGTGAGAAGCCCAGACAGAAAGCCTCTGACCTGTGACCATGATCACCACAGGGTTGCTGGGTGCCGACCACCCAGTGGGGGAGTGTGGGTGTGAACTGCAACATCTGTAGGTCCCTGCATGTGCTGGGGTCACAGGGCCCATGAGAAAGCTGTTCCGGAATATTCTGTTGTAGAGCTCAGGGACAGGCATCCCGTCTTCTTTGGACAGACTGAATTCGTTAAACCCAAGACGAGAGCGACACTGAAGAGTCACATGTTGTCCTTCAGACACCACAGTGCCGGGCCAGGCAGAGAGGAAGGGCTTGTCCTGACCACCTGGGGGAGAAGGAGGCACTACCTTAGAGAGGAGGATGTGGAGCCGCCCCTCCCTCCCTGTGCTCAGAAGATTCTCCCATTTCCACGTTTCTAAGGCTCCTACCACACCTGGGTGCCCAGGGCTACAGGAAGGACCCATCCCGCATAGACATGGCGTCTCCCTACAGCAAGTGTCAGCTGAGAACTTTGAGCAGGTGCTGAAGAAGCGACTCTTACTAGATTTTAACACTGCAAAATTACTTACATAAAAGAACACAAGGTAGACACAGGATGGAGGGCATGATCAGCTAATGCATGAACCATAATAAACAACTGAGCCCCTATTAGAAGATCTGGAATGTCAGGGTCATGACTGTGGTTCCCCCACCTCTTAGGTAGAATGACAGCAGCCACATTGCAGCCCCTACCGTCATGGAAACGCTGGAGGGTGTGAGTTATGCTCTTGTCCTCAGAGGCCTGTTGTTCCTTGCACTGCTTCTCTCCCTTCCTCTGCCGGTGACACCACTTCCTCCCTGCACACCACTCCTTTGAGCACTTCAGTCTCCCCCTGGGTCCCCACAGACTCAGCCAAGGGAAAGAAAGGCCGGGGAGGGCTAGGACAGAACTGTGGCGAAGCTTCCCCTGGCTTCCTTTTCCTAGTTCATGAGAGATTCCCACATGGCTTCCCATGGTCAGCCCATCAGTCAACCCCCTGTGTCGCCTGCCTCCCGTTTCAGGAACATCATCTTATGTGGGGAGATGACAACCTAAGGTTTGGGGGAAGGACTCACCCACATGTGGCCAGGGCCCCTCCAGCAAGAAGAACCCTGGAAAGAAAGATCATGATGGATGATCCATCTGTACATCACCTCCAGGCCCATATCTCCACTCCAGGCCCATATCTCCACTTCCGTCCTATATCTCTACTCCAGGCCCATATCTCCACTCCAGGCCTATATCTCCACCTCTGTCCTATATCTCTACTCCAGGCCCATATCTACACTCCAGGCCCATATCTCCACCTCCAGGCCTGTATCTCCACCTCCAGGCCCGTGTCTCCATTCCAGGCCCATATCTGCACTCCAAGCCAACATCTCCACTCCAGGCCCATATCTCTACTCCAGGCCCATATCTACAGTTCCAGGCCCATATCTCCACCTCCAGGCCCATATCTCCACTCTAGGCCCATATCTCCACCTCCAGGCCCGTATCTCAATTCCAGGTCCATATCTGCACTCCAAGCCAATATCTCCACTCCAGGCCCATATCTACAGTTCCAGGCCCATATCTCTACTCCAGGCCCATATCTCTACTTCAGGCCCATATCTACAGTTCCAGGCCCATATCTCCACTCCAGGCCCATATCTCCACCCCAGGCCCATATCTCCACTCCAGGCCTATATCTCCACTCCAGGCCCATATCTCCACTCCAGGCCCATATCTCCACTCCAGGCCCAGATCTCCACCCCACCGCTCCCTCCCTCGATTCCCTTCCAGGACTCACCAACACACGCCATGCTGACGACCATGAGCGACATGGTGCTGCCGGTGCAGACAGGCGGCTGCGCCCCAGCTCAGTTCAGCAGCACACAGGATGTTGTGAGGGGCTCATGCAGTTTACATGCTGACCACATCATGGGAGGATGACGTATGCAGGCTATTTCTACCTTGCATGAGGCCCAGTGGCTGTTTGGTCAAGAGCAGAACATGGCTTCCTGGAAATTGTTCCAACTAGAATTGACACCTTGCATCCTTCACTATAACCAACTCAAAACACGTCTCAGATCCAATCTCTCATACAGGAGATGACTGAATGCTTGGCTTACATTAAAGACTTTTGATGTATTTTTGTTGTTTTTATCTGAGATTCAAACTCTTCTTCATGTGCTATTTTCCCCAGGCTGTTCTTTGACTTCAGAGTTCAAGCAATCCTCCTGCCCCAGCATTTCTAGCAGCTGGCAGTATGTCACAATCTGCCACACCCAAGTCACAACTTTTAGAACTTTTTTTTTTTTTGAGATGCAATCTCACTTCGTCACCCAGTTTGGAATGCAGTGGTGAGACCTCGGCTCATTGCAGCCTCCACCTCCCAGGTTCACGCAATTCTCGTGCCTCAGCCTCCTAAGTAGCTGGATTTACAGGCACCCACCACCACGCCCACCTAATTTTTGTACTTTTAGTAGAGAGGAGGTTTCTCCATGTTGGCCAGGCTGGTCTTGAACTCCTAACCTCAAGTGATCTGTCTACTTCAGCCTCCCAAAGTGCTGAGATTACAGGTGTGAGCCACCATGCCTGGCCGGGACATTCTATATGTGTGCGTATGTGTGCATTTATATACATATGGTTATACACACACACACACACACACACACACACCCTAAGCACTCACATATATAGTTGTTTCAAATTTTAAAAAATATAAATTTTGTATTTTTCTTTCTTTTTCTCACATTTGTGTTTCTATGACACCATATACATATTGAATTTTATAGCTCTATTTTATTCTTTTGGATTGCAGTTTAATAGTCCATGCATAACTTTATCAACATGTAATTATCCATTCTTTTTATCATGGACATTTGTGTTGTTTCCGGATTTTCTCTTTTATAACTCGGGCCTTGATAATCGTGTTTCTGTGTGATCCCTTGCATACATATGCTGAATTAATTAGACATATTTACCTAGAAATGAAATTATTGGTTTTGGGTGCAAGTTGGTGTTGAGCTTAACCAGGAAGTGCCAAAATATTTCCATCATGACCAAATGTGGCCTGGAAAGTTTTTTGGGGTCAATTTTCCTGTTTCTTCTAAGGAACAAAATTGATGTCACTGATTTTTCTGTCCTGTTTGTCATTTATGAATGTATGTACATATGCACGTATATATTTGCTTGCCATTTTATGTTTTTCCTCGACGTTACTTTGGAATTAATTTGCTGATGTGTAGTATTTCTGCAAGTGAAAGTTACCTATTTACTCAGCTCTTCCTTCTTTTCTAACACAGACATTTGAGGCTTATTGTCCCTTAACGCTGTTCTATCTGTATCCCCAGTCATTTGCCGAGATGTGTTTTCATTTTTAATTGATACAAAATATTTTCCACCTTTCTTTGAAATGTTTTTCTTCCACTCATTGTTTATTGCTATGTGTGTTTATTAATTTTAAAATATTTGATAATTTCCCCAGCATTTCCTTGTTGTACATTTATAATTTAATTCAACTGTTTCATCTATCATATTACCTATGATTCAGCATTTAAAAATTTATTTTGGTGAATGTTCCAGGGGTGCTAGACAAGTTTGTGGATTAGGAAGATTTGAGGTGGATGTTTTCTAAATGTCAGTTAAGAAAAAAATCATTCAAATGTTTTTCTTTATTTAAAAAAAATAGAGACGGGGTCTCACTATGGTGCCCAGGCTGGTCTCAAACTCCTGGCCTCAAGTGATCCTCCCATTTTGGCCTCCCAAAGTGCTAGGATTATTGAAATTATTAAATGTTTCATATCAACACCCAACCTTATGCACCCGCCGCCTACACAAATGTTTTTCAAGTCTTTCATATGCTTAATAATTTTCTGTGTACTTGTTCTGGAAGTGAGGTGAATGTTGCTATCTCTAGCTGCAATTTGGATGTGATTGATTATGTTTTGAATTATGCCTTTAATTTAATGTGTTTTGAGGTTCCAGCTTTAAGTGTGTAGGCATTTAGGATGATTATGTCTTATTTATGAATTTGCCTCTTTGTCATTATGAAGTACTCCTCTTCATATCTCCATATATCTCTTCTTTGTATGTGCATGGTGAAATATTTCATTCTTTGAGTTAAGAAACTTCTATTGAGGAATACTTTTTATTACAAACATTTACCTATTCTATGTATACAACTGACTAGAAGCATATTTTGCACTGGGCATTATCATGACAAGGTAATGTCATTCTTTCAATATTTACATCTTGTGGATTAGTATTTGAAGTGCAGCTTATGTAGACAGCATAAGGTTGGGTGTTGATATGAAACATTTAATAATTGCACACGTATTTGCCTCTTGGGATACTTCCACTTTTTTGAATTTCAAGTTACTAAATGGTATCATTAATCTTTGCTTCAAGAGCTTAACATTTATTGTAGAACAATGCTTCATGTAATAAATTGTGAGACATTTTTAATGGCACCTTTATTGCAGGAAAATGTTTTCCTTTTCAGGTTGAAAGATTCTAGTTTGAAATATTTTCTTGTAGCACTTTAAAAATGTTGGTCCACCTGTTTCTTACTTTCATAGTTTTGAATACAAAGTTTGCTGTCATTCTTGTATTTCTTCTTCTGTTTTTTATTTATTTATTTTTGACAGAATATCTTGCCGTCTCACCCAGGCTGGAGTGCAGTGGCATGATCTTGGCTCACTGCAACCTCTGCCTTCCAGGTTTCAGCAATTCCTGCCTCAGCCTCCTGAGTAGCTGGGACTACAGGCATGCGCCACCATACCCAGCCAATTTTTTTTTTTGTATTTTTTTTTTGTAGAGATGAAGTTTTGCCATATTGGCCAGAACTCCTGACCTCAAATGATCCACCTGCTTTGGCCTCCCAAAGTGCTGGGATTACAGGTGTGAGCCACTGTGCTCAGGCTATTTATTCCTTTTTATATAATATGAATTCACATTCATACATACCAGGGGTTAGGATTTCAACAAACGTTTCTGGGGGAGACCACTCAAAACACAGCACTCATCCTTGGTTATTTCCAGCCATGGAGCCTGTATCAATATCCTGGTGAATTATCTAAGCTGTCCACCTACCTACCCCAAATCCTCATGGTCACATAAAAGGCTAGTATAGTATAATAATTTTTCTTTCCCTGCTTATCTACAGTGATGAAGAAACGAATATTCAAAGGGAAAAATCTTAGCTTTAGGTATAGGGTAATTCTTCTTCCTATTTTTAAATAACTTCAACCTTTACTGTAGATTAAAGGTATGCATGCAGGTTTGTTACATAGGCATATTGTGTGACTCTGAGGTTTGTGGTTCCAACAATGCCATCACCCAGGCAATGAGCATAGAATCCAACAGGTGTTTCTTCAGCCTATACCTCCCTACTCCTCCCCCCATCTGTAGTCCTCGGTATCTGTTGTTTCCATCTTTATGTTCATGTGTATTCAATGTTTGGTTCTCAGTTATAAGTGATAACATGTGGTATTTGGTTTTCTGTTCCTGGGTTAGTTCACTTAGGAGATTGACCTCCTGCTACATTCATGTTGCTGCAAAGGACATGATTTCATTATTTTTTATGGCCATGTAATGTTCCATGTGTATATGTAGCACATTTTCTTTAACTAATCCACTGTTGGTGAGCACTTAGGTTGACTGCAAATCTTTGCTATTCTGAATTGCACAGCAATGAATATACTAGTGCATGTGTCTTTTTGACATAGTTAATTACCTTCCTTTTGGTATATACCCAGTAGTGGGATTGCTTGATTGAATAGTAGTTCTATTTTAAGTTATTTGAGAAGTCTCCAAACTGCTTATCACATTGGCTGAACTAGTTAACATTCCCACCAAGAGTGTATAAGTGTTCCCTTTTCTCCACAATCTTGTCAGCATCTGTTATTAAAAAAAACAAAAAACTTTTTAGTAATTGCTTCTGCTTCTCTGATTGTTGTGAGATGGTATCTCACTGTGGTTTTAATTTGCATTTCTCTGATGATTACTGATAATAAGCATTTGTTCATATGTTTTTTGGCCATGTGTACATCTTCTTTTGAGAAGTGTCTGTTCATGTCATACTTAATTGAGGTTTTTTGGTTTTCTGCTTGTTGATTTGTTTACATTCCTTATAGATTCTGGATATTAGAACTTTGTCAGATGCATAGTTTGCAAATATTTTCTCCCAGTCTGTAGGTTATCTGTTTACTCTGTTGATACTTTCGTTTGCTGTGCAGAAGCTCTTCAGTTGAGTTAGGTCCCAATTTCTGTCTTTGTCACAATTGGTTTTGGGGAGTTAGCCATAAATTCTTTGCCAAAGTCTATCTTGAGAAGGATATTTCCTAGGTTTTCTTCTAGAATTTTAATATTTTGAGGTTTTACATTTAAATCTTTAAACTATCTTGGGTTAATTTTTGTATATAGTGAGAGTTAGGGGTCCAGTTCTATTATTTTGCATATGAGTAGTCAGTTATCCCAGAACTATTTATTGAAGAAAGGGTACTTTCCACATTGCTTGTTTTTGTCAATTTTTTCAAAGATGATTGTAGGTATGTAGCCTCATTTCTGGGTTCTCTATTCTGTCTCATTGGTCTATGTGTCTGTTTTTGTAGTAGTATCATGCTGTTTGGGTTACTATAGCATTGTAGTATAGTTTGAAGTTGGGTAATGTGATGCCTGGGCTTTGTTCTTTGTGCTTAGGATTCCTATGTGTATTCAGGCTCTTTTTTTGGTGCCAAATACATTTTAGAATAAATTTTTATAATTTCGTGAAAAATGACATTGCATTTTGAAATGGATAGCATTGACTCTGCAATTTGTTTTTGGAAGTATGGCGATTTTAACTATTTGTTCTCCTAATTCATGAGCATGGAATATTCTTCCATTTGTTTGTATCATTTCTTATTTCTTTCAGAAGTGTTTTGTAGTTCTCCTTGTAGAGAATTTTCACCTTCTTGGTTAGATGGATTCCTAGGTATTTTATTTTCTTTGTGGCTAGTGTAAATGGAATTGTGTTCTTGATTTAGTTCTCAGCTAGAATGTTAGTGGTGCATAGAAATGTTACTAATTTGTGTACATTTTTTTAATCCCGAAACTTTATTGAATTTGTTTATCAGTTTCAGGAGCCTTCTGACAGAGTCTTTAGGGTTTTCTATGTATAAAATTATTTCATCAGCAAAGAGAGACAGTATCACTACTTCTTTTCCAATTTTAATGCCTTTTATTTCCTTCTCTTGCCTGATTGCTTTGGCTAGGACTTCCAGTACCATGTTGAATTAAAATGGCGGGAGTGGTCATCTTGGTCTTGTTTCGGTTCTCAAGGGGTATGGTTCCAGCTTTTGCCCATCAATATGATGTTGGCTGTGGGTTTGTCATAGATGGCTCTTAATATTTTGAGGTATGTTCCTTTGATGCCTATTGACAGTTTTTATCATGAAGGGATGTTGGATTTTACAGAAAGCTTTTTCTGCATCTATTGAGATGATCATATAGTTTTTGTTTTTAATTATGTTTATGAGGTGAATCACATTCGTTGACTTTGTAGGTTGAACCAACCTTGCATCCCAAAAATAAAGCTTACTTGATCATGTGAATTAACTTTTGATGCACTGACAGATTCAATTTGCTAGCATTTTGTTGAGGATTTTATGTCTATGTTCATTAAGGATATTTAGTTGTAGTTTTCTTTTTTTCATTATGTCTCTGACAGATGTTGGTATCATGGTGATGATGGCTTCATAGAATGAGTTAGGAAGAAGCCCCCACTCCTTGATTTTTTCCAAAAGTTTCAGTAAGATCGGTATCAGTTCTTCTTTGTATGGCTGTTGGATTTTGGCTGTGAATCCATCTGGTCCTGGGCTATTTTTAGTTAGTAGGGTTTTTATTACTGATTAAATTTCTGAACTTGTTATTGGTCTGTTCAGGTTTTCACTTTCTTCCTGGTTGAAATATGATAAATTTTGTGTTACCAGGAATTTATCCATTTCTTCTAGGTTTTCTAGCTTGTTTGTATAGAGGTGTTCATAATAGTCTTTGACGATCTTTTCTATTTCTGTGGGATTGTTCGTAACATTGTTTTGTCAGTTCTATTTGTGTTTATTTGGATCTTTTCTCTTTTTCTTTGTTAATCTAGCTAACAGTCTATGAATTTTGTTTATTTTTTTTCAAAGAAAAACTCTTGGTTTTATTTATCTCTTGTATGGACTTTTTGGTCTCAATTTATTCAGTTCTCTCTGACTTTAGTTATTTCTCATCTTTTGCTGGCCTTGGGTTTGGACTGTTCCTTTTTTTTAATAGTTCCTCTAGATGCAGTGTTAAGTCACTAATTTGAGATCTTTCTAAACTTCTGATGAGGCATGTATTGCTATAAATTTTCCTCTTATCACTGCTTTAACTGCATCCCAAAGGTTTTGGTAAGTTTGTTTCTATTTTTATTAATTTTAAATAATGTTTTGTGATTTCTGCTTTAATTTCATTGTTCACCCAAGAGTTCTCAAGGGGTACAGTTCCAGCTTTTGACCATTCAATATGATGTTGGCTGTGGATTTGTCATAGATGGCTCTTAATATTCATTCAGAAACAAGTTGTTAAATTTCCATGTTTTTCTGTAGTTTTGAGAGATCATCTTGGTATTTTTTTCTATTTTTATTGTGTGCCTTGTTATGATTTTGATTCTTTGAATTTATTGAGACTTGCTTTGTGGCCAGTCTTAGAATATGATATGTTTTTTGTGTGTGCAGATAAGAAGAATCTATATTCTGCAGTTGTTGGGTGGAGTACTCTGTAGATGTCTATGAGGTCCAATTGGTCAAGTGTTGTCTTTAAGACCAGAATTTCTTTGTTAGTTTTCTGTTTTAGTGATTCATCTGACGTTGTTAGTGGGATACTGAAGTCCCTTACTATTATTGTGTGGCTGTCTAACTCTTTTCATAGGTGAAGAATAACTTGTTTTATGAATCGGGGTGCTCCAAATTTGGGTGCATATATATTTAGAATAGTTAAGTCTTCTGTCAAATTGAACCCTTTATCATTTTGTAATGCCCTTCTTTGTCCTTCCTGATTGCTGTTGATTTAAAGTGTGTTTCATGTGATATAAGAATAGGAATGCCTTCCTTTTTTTTGTTTCCTGGTTGCCTAGTAAATATTTCTTCATCCTTTTACTTTGAGCCTGTGGGTGTCATTACATGTGAGATGGGTCTCTTGAAGACAGCAGGCAGTTGGCTCTTGGCTTTTTATCCACGTTGCCACTCTATGCCTTTTATGTGGGGAATTTAGGCCATTTACATTTCTTCTCCTGATATATCCTTTTTATATTTTTATGATTGCCTTTTAAAATATATTGAATGGTTGTAATTCCAGGGAAATGTCTTTCAGAACAGTATTTATTCCCATCTACATGTTTTGGAGAGTGCACTAGGGGACATTGAAGTTTATTTCCTGAAAAGAGTTTAATTTTAAAATGTATTTTATTTAATAACTCAATGATTCAGGGAATGTCTAGGTATTTCAGAGATTGTTTTAGACAGTTTGTTTTCTTGTGATATGTGACCACTTCATCTAAGCTGAATAATGTCTTCATAATGTCCACTTAGAATCTTTTGAATTCTGTAGGATCTGTACTGATGTCATTGTTTCCTTTCTGATATTGGTAATTTTCCTGGGGTAGGATTCTTAGCTCCTCCTGAGGTCCTGCCTCTAAAATTCAGGGAACAATGAGTCAGATTAGTACTCTGATTTCAAAGGGAAAGCTGATCATCTACCATTTTTTGTTTATGTAAATGGACACATTAACATCCCTTGTCTGAACCTTAGTTACCTTGTTTGGAGCATTTTGCTATAAATCTCACTTCTCAGAGTGGTTGTGGGGCTTGATGTGGCTGGGGTATGGGATGGCTTAAACATAATTTATTTCCAGACCAGGTTAAGGCATGAAGGGGTTGGGACTTGTTAGAATCCTGTTGTCGGACTCCACAGTAAGGGTAGACATTTGAGGCACCCAATCAAAAACCTCAGTTGTTCCTAGCACTGAGAAATTTGATAGAATGTTTCTAAAACATTATTCATGGTCTAATGCACAAAAAGTAAAGTGATAGCCCTGGAAGTAGACAGGGAACCATAAGAAAAAAGAGAGAGCAAAGCTCAGTGGTCACCAGTGCCTGGGACCATCAAGGGGTTATTAAGGAGGAAGTTTCCACCTCTGTGGGGAACAGAAGAGGCTCCCTAGGGTCCACACACACAGGGAGTGAGCCAAGACTCTGGGCGAGGCTGGAAGCTCTGGGTCTCCTTCTGTGAGATTTTCTTTTTTTTTTTTGAGATGGAGTCTTGCTCTGCCACCCAGGCTAGAGTGCAACGGCGCGATCTCGGCTCATGGCAACCTCTGCATAAAGTGGTATGTATTTAAGGCATGCATTAGACAAATTACTAAGTATTTACTAGATAAGAAAAAATTATATCTGAATCTTTTCAAATTGCCGTCTTATGCATTATATTCTCTTTTTATAGTGCAATTTCTTAATAGTTAATGCCAGAAGATTTTTTTTTCTTCCTTTCTTTCTTTCTTTTTTTTTTTTTTTTGAGACAGAGTCTCACTCTGTTGCCAGGCTGGAGTGCAGTGGCACGATCTCGGCTCACTGCAACCTCCGTCTCTCGGGTTCATGCCATTCTCCCGCCTCAGCCTCCTGAGAAGCTGGGACTACAGGCACCCTCTACCATGCCCAGCTATTTTTTTTTTTTTTTTTGTATTTTTAGTAGAGACGGGGTTTCACCATGTTCGCCAGGATGATCTCTGTCTCTTGAACTCGTGATCCACCTGCCTTGGCTTCCCAAAGTGCTGGGATTACAGGCATGAGCCACTGCACCTGGTCGCCAAAAGATATTTTTAAAAACCTAAATGCCACTTGAAATGAATAAGACCCTCAATAATTCATGGGATATACATGTGAACTTATGACATATGATGAAATAAGCAGGTTACAAAATTGTAATATATCAAGCAAGGTAGAAAGCCATGGCAGAAAAAGAGACAAGCATTTTCAAGATAAGGAATGAAAGAGGGGAAACAGTACTATTGATTTTACAGATTTTACAAAGATATCTTAGGTGTGTTTTCCTAAATAATAAATGTACCCTCCTTTTGACCTTTATGTAATGAAATAACCATGCACACATTTTCAAATAATACTTCATTTACTTGACTTTATGCTTGAAAATTGAAGTATGGTGCTGTTTGTTATTTTCATTTATGCATTTTACTACCTTGTAATATTCCACTGAGTCTATTTACCACACTATGTTTATTTTTTTCGTAGGTGGACTTTGGTATTTTATAGCTTTGGCTAATAGGAACAGCATTCCTATAACAGTTGTGAGTGTATCATGACACATAAGTAGACATTTATCTCTAGGGTACATAATTAAGTACATAATTAAGAAGGGTCACAGCCATGTGCCTCCTCTTTTTAACTAGATAATTCCAATACACTTCCTTAATTGATTAAAGCAATTTGTACTCTTACTATTAATGTACTAAAATTCTACATGTTCAATATTCTTTCCAAAAAATGATTTTGCTACTTTTTTCTTTTCTTGAGACTGAGTCTTGCTCTATCACCCAGGCTGTAGTGATCTCGGCTCACTGCAACCTCCGCCTCCTGGGTTCATGCGATTCTCGTGCCTTGGCCTCCCAAGTAGCTGGGATTACAGGCAGGCGCCACCATGTCTGGCTAATTTTTGTATTTTTAGTAGAGACAGCGTTTCACCATGTTGGCCAGGCTGGTCTCGAACTCCTGACCTCAGGTGATCCTCCTGCCTCGGCCTCCCAAAGTGTTGGGATTACAGGCATGAGCCACCACACCCGGCCTATTTTTTTCTTTTCCCTCCATTGTGCTATGATTTTTGACATTACAATTTTACTGAAACTACACCATAAGAATGAAGCAGAAATTATTATAACCTTTAAATAAACTTTACAACTGGTTCATACTCGTGTGAACGACAATTCTTTTGACTACTTCCCAACTGTGCATTCAATGGCGTCATATGGGCACCCTGAAGTTGGCCATAAAGGACGTATTTATACCACACTAATCAGCAAATACCATAAATCTGGGGCTTTATATGTTCAGAGTTTTCTTAAGAAAATAATTTTTTCAGAGAGCCAGTTTAACAGAATACCATGAGGCTGAGCCTTCGAGCGTTAGTGTGCTCATTCTGAGAGATGATATTTCTGGACAAAGTACACAGGTATCATCCGATGAAGAGTGAAGGGAATTCAGGGTCCAGAGAGGGTGCTAGGGCATCATTTCAGACTCATATTTCCCTTTTTTTTTTTTTTTTTGGAGATGGAGTCTTGCTCTGTTGCCCAGGCTGGAGTGCAGTGGCAAGATCTTGGCTCACTGCAACCTCCGCCTCCCGGGTTCAAGCTATTCTCCCGCCTCAGCTTCCTGAGCAGCTGGGATTACAGGTGCTCACTGCCACACCCAGCTAATTTTTGTATCTTTTAGTAGAGACAGGGTTTCACCATGTTGGCCAGGTTGGTCTCGAACTTCTGACCTCAAGTGATCCGCCCACCTCAGCCTCCCAAAGTGCTGGGATTACAGGTGTGAGCCACTGTGCCTGGCCTCAGACTCATGTTTCAAAGTCCCAAATACAAATCTGCCCACCTATTCCAGTTATTTAATCCAGATCTATGCTCAGAACTGAAAAGATGGAGAATCAATAGTTCACTTTAGAGAATGCGGTAGTTGGAAACAAAGACAAATGTATTACATGACAGTGGACCAGAGCACGTGATCGCAGGGGTGTGGATGCAAACCCACCATGGGGGACGTGCCTTCACATCACAGAGAGCGAAAGGAAGGGAGGGGCAGACACGGAGGATCCACAACAGCAGGACTGAAAGCACTGCCATTTAATGGAAGTTTAATGGAGGAAGCGTTCTCTACAGGCACCCAGACATCTTCCTGAACCTGACCCAAGCCTCCCCTTCTCGACTTTCTCAGTAGACGGTTTCCCGAATGATGGTCCAGACTTTCTTCCAGAACCTCCTAGGACTATCAGATTCATTGCCAAGGCTCTGGCACTCTGAAGGGTGCATTGTTCTCTCATGTATTTACCTCCTTGCTGCATCTTGGGGACTTCTCTAGCTGTGCCAGTCCTAAAGCAGCAGAATCCCGAGGACCACCAGGACCAAGCCAGCCACAGCCACGCGGATGAGATTCTCCACTGTGTAATCCTGGGGGTGTGAGGCTGGGGATGGTGGACCAAGAGGTCTCAGAGGTCAGGGCAGATCAACATCACCCGGGACCCCTGGATGTCCACCCAGGGCACCCACCTCCCCTTCACAGGACCTGACCCTCTGTGCCAGCCCCATAACCGAGAGCATCTCCTTACACACCAGTCTTGGAGTCTGTCTTGTTTTGCGATGGGCTGAGGGTCTCAGCTGCTCCTGAGAATCAACCAAAAAAGGGGGAGGTGTGTGAGGAGTTGAAGAGACTTAAGCCAACATGTCCCTCAGTTGCTGCATTCCTTTGTGTCTACACTTCTCCTAACTGCTCTGTAGTTGTGTGATAGAACCTTTCCCTGCCGTGGCAGAGGTACATTCGCATACATACATACATATATGCATAGGTGTAAATATGTGTGTATACATAATATGTGTTATGCATATGTGTATACATAATATGTATTATGCATATGTGTATAGATAATATGTATTATGCATATGTGTATGCATAATATGTATTATAAGATATAGTGTGAGTATATATAAATATATAATATATAAGATATATAATAGTGTGTGTATACATATAAATATATAATAAGATATGTAATAGTGTGTGCATATATAAATATATAATATATAATAAGATATATAATAGTGTGTATATATAAATATATAATACATAATATATTATAAGATATATAATAGTATGTATATATAAATATATAATACATAATATATAAGATATATAATAGTGTGTGTATATATAAATATATAATACATTATATATTATAAGATATATAATAGTATATATAAATATATAGTACATAATATATAATAAGATATATAATAGTGTGTGTATACATATAAATATATAATAAGATATGTAATAGTGTGTGCATATATAAATATATAATATATAATAAGATATATAATAGTGTATATATATAAATATATAATACATAATATATTATAAGATATATAATAGTATGTATATATAAATATATAATACATAATATATAAGATATATAATAGTGTGTGTATATATAAATATATAATACATTATATATTATAAGATATATAATAGTATATATAAATATATAGTACATAATATATAATAAGATATATAATAGTGTGTGTATACATATAAATATATAATAAGATATGTAATAGTGTGTGCATATATAAATATATAATATATAATAAGATATATAATAGTGTATATATATAAATATATAATACATAATATATTATAAGATATATAATAGTATGTATATATAAATATATAATACATAATATATAAGATATATAATAGTGTGTGTATATATAAATATATAATACATTATATATTATAAGATATATAATAGTATATATAAATATATAATACATAATATATAATAAGATATATAATAGTGTGTGTATATATAAATATATAATACATAATATATATTATAAGATATAATAATGTGTGGGTAATATAAATATATAATACATAATATATAAGATATATAATAGTGCATATATAAATATATAATACATAATATATATTATAAGATATAATAATGTGTGGGTATATATAAATATATAATACATAATATATATTATAAGATATAATAATGTGTGGGTATATATAAATATATAATACATAATATATAAGATATATAATAGTGTATATATAAATATATAATACATAATATATATTATAAGATATATAATAGTGTGTGAGTATATATAAACACATACATATATATTTGAAGTGAGAAGAGTATTATATAATTTAGAAACAAACAAGTTTGTCCTCCATTTTCTTGTGGTTAATGTAATTATTATCAATAAATCAGAAGAGATCATTTCGGAAAGGATTGAAAGGGAGTGTGTCTGTGGTAAGTTAATAGGAACTAAAATTAGCATACCCAAACCAATAGCTTTCTCATCCATACGTAACTAATTTTAGAAAATAGAAAGGAATCAAAGACTTTCAAATTATTCAAGTAGTAAAACAATGCTTAAAATTCACAATGTCCACAATTTTTATGAATACAACTTCAAGCATCTGCTAACTGTATAAAGTTTAATTTTAAATGTATTGGATACAAAGACATTATTAATGAGAAGTTATTCTCCATCATGAATGCACATATTTAATTTAATCCCAAAGAAAATCAGAGCACAGTTATTTTACATCATAACGCTACCTAACAAATTAAATGTGTAAATTATAAATGCCAGCATTGCTTTGAAATCTTCAGAAACAGAAAGAGAAACTAGATATGTGGACATAAAAAATAAAGGACAGAAAGGAATTGCACACGAGGTTTGCTGTTGAATAATTTGCCTGCATTGCTGCAGTGAGCAGGTGCATGATCTCCCCTTCGTCTCAGGTATGCACTGAGTATTTTGGGGCCGCCAGGGGAGCCCAGGTGGGGAGTGGGTGGGGCCTCCATCTTCTACCCTCAGCCTAAGCATGATTCCTCCAAGGTTTCTCCATATCTCATTTCAGCCCTCCCTGGCCTTTAGCCCCATCTGAGGTCTCTGGGGTGGGAGCCCAGGATTAGGAGGTCCCTGACTATTTCCACCCTCTCATGGGCTGGGCCCTCCCCTGCCGACCCTCCCCCTTTACTCCCCTCTTTCCTTAGCGTCCTGAGCTCTCCTGGGGGCAGGGCCTGAGCTGAGGTTTGAGCTCAGAGAGGACAGGGTCAGCGGCCTCACCTGAGACCACGAGCTCCAGGGGGTCACTGGGGTGAGACAGCAGGTAGGGGAAGAATCTGCGTGAGCTGTAGCACCTGTAGGTCCCCGCGTGGGCTGAGGTCACAGGACTCATGGGGAATTCAGCCTGGTGCTGCTGAGCTTGGTGCTCTGATCTCAGACGCAGTGGGTGATGGGCTGCCCCCTCCTTGGTCAGAAGGAAAGTGTCCAACTGCTCCCGTGACTGACACAGCAGGGTCACGTTCTCTCCTGAGGCCACCGTGGGGCCCGGCTGCACCGAGAGGGAGGGTCTGCCACGGATCTGTCCTGGAGAGAAGAAGGATGGGTGAGGGGCTGCCCCACCTCGTTCTGAGCTGACACCTCCCCAGGCCTCTCCCTGGGACCCTCAGTGTCTCTGTCTCTGTTTTCTCTGAGTCTCCCCCTCCCCGCCCATCCCCTGTCTCTGTCTGTCTCTCCGTCCCTTAGGACCCCCACCCCTCATCCCGGCCATCACCACCTGGGCTCCCCCAGCAGGGCCTGTGCGGAGCCTGGGTCCCTGACTGAACCTGCTGGGCTCCTCACCTGCGATCAGGATGCTCAGGGGGTCACTGGGGGCCGACCACTCGGAGGAGAGGTTGTGTGCACCGTAGCATCTGTACTGGCCCCCGTGGGAGACCCTCACAGGGCCCAGGGTGAAGTTGGCCTGGGAGAGCCCAGCCTGGGGCTGCCGGCCAGAGCCCTGGACGAGGTCATGTCCCCCCTCCTTGTACAGAGTGAATTTGTCATAGCCGACATCAGAGCCACACTGGAGGGTCAGATTCTCCCCAGGGGCCACGACAGGGCCCTGCAGGGTCAGGAGGGAGGGCTTCCTAGACACGCCTGGAGGGAAAGAAGAGTCGGGACTAGGAGGGCTGGTTCCTCCCACACCCCTTCCTTCTCCCCTCCTGGCCCTGCAGGTCTCACTGTCTCTCACACTCAGTGTCTCTGGGCTCAGGAGTCCCAAACTTCCCTTGTTCCACCCTCCTACATGGGGCTCCGTGAGAGTAAGTTCTCAAAAATAAATAGGGCAAGGAGGAAGACATCCATACCTAAGACCAGGATCTCCATGGTATCACTGGGTTCCGACCACACCCAGGGGAAGTTCGTGTAATGCCCATAGCATCTGAACATCCACCGGTGACTGGCAGCCACACGGCCCACAGGGAACAGGGCCAGGGACAAGGGACAGCCCCTTGGAGAGTTCCTGTGAGTCCAGCATCCAGGAGAGCTTGTTTTCTCCTTCCTCAATCAAAATGAACCTGTGAAATCCCACCCTTGAGCTACACTGGATGGTCACGTTCTCTCCTGAGGTCACCACAGGGCTCGGCAGGGCTGAGAGAGTGGGTTTTCTGTGGGCTCCTAGGAGAGAAGGAGACACTGTCTTAAATGGGGCTCACGCGTCCCACATCATCCCCCAGGGCTGAGTTATTAGAACGGAGATGCCCTTGAGAGCTGACCCCCTTCCTGCAGGCAGAGCCTGGGGCTGGGACCCCTGAGTGTCCTCTTACCTGTCACCACCAGCTCCAGGGGCTCGCTGCGCTCTGACCAGCCTGCAGGGCTGAGATAGTGACAGTGGTATCTCCCTGCATGGTGCTCTCTCATGGATGGGATGAAGAAGTTGGTCTTGTTCCTGGGCTCTGGTGGGCTCTGTTGGTACCAGGTCATGGGGTTTCCTTCCTTGGTGAGATAGTAACCCTGGGTATCCAGGGTCCCCTGGCACCAGAGGGTCATGGGGCTCTCCCAGGTAATCACAGAGCCTGGCTCAGCCCAGAGGCTGGGTTTGGGGAGGGTCCCTGGAAGAAACCACAGGCTGGGGTCCACAGACCTCCCCCGCTCCTCATTCCCAGCTCAGGTCACAGACCCTCTTGATTTTCTCACCCTCAGTTCAGAAGCCCCTGAGATGAGAGTCCAGGTGCTGAGTGTGAGGTCAGGCATGGGAGGTTAGCAGAGACTCACCTGCAAGTGCTTGGGCTTTCTGGCCCAGACTCAGCCATGGAGAAGAGTTTCCTGTGGGGGATTTGGAACACAGAGGTGTGGCTGCTTCCCTTCCTGTTGGAGCACCAGTAGCCACTGGAGCCCTGAGGCTCTCTGGTGAACAAGGCTGCTGTGGGACCCTCCCCACCTCAGCCCAGTGCCCCTCCTGTCCCTCGTCTCTCCACCACTGACTGAGGCACAGAAGAACAGTGAGGATGGACACCATGATGCCTGCTCTGCGTGCTCCAGCTGTGGGACAGGTGACCACATGGCCCTCCATGACAGACAGATGCACGGATGTGGTTAAGTCAGAGCCTGCTGCCGCCTGCCTGGGTCCCCACAGCTGTGAACCCACAGGAAGTGGACAGCCCCTTGCTGGGCCTGTCTCTTATTCCCCCCCCAGTGCAGGGGCTCAGGAGGACCCAGGCCCTCTGCACACATCTCAGCCCAGACCTGAGGTGTCCCCTGATTGCCAGGGATCCTTTGTCTGAAAACCTGCCCGTGGAGGGTGGACCCAACATCATATCTATGTCAGCTCCCAACTTAGCTGGGTCTAAACTGAAAACACAGCCCTTATTTTCTCAGAGCCTCCACTCATGACATCGGCTTTCTTTTTCCCCACTGATGCAAAGACAAATATTTCCCAGCAGAAAGTCATCCTGATCTGGAGAGACCCATTTCCTGCGTTCAGTAAATAAAGTCAGTTTCATTAGGGGAGGCTCTGGGAAAATAAGGGGATGCAGACTAGCAGAAGATGAACATTTAGCTACTTGTTTCTCAATTAATTGATTTATTACCAAAGAGAGAGAAGTGGAAACATGAGAATAGGGACCATGACTAGAATGTGGTTGAGGGAATGGTTTCTATCTTATTCCCTGGCAGAGAACTAAGGGATAAGAATGAGAAAGCTGGCTGGGTGCAGTGGCTTACACCTGTAATCCCAGCACTTTGGGAGGCCGAGGCAGGAAGATCACAAGGTCAGGAGTTCAAGACCAGCCTGACCAACATGGTGAAACCCCTGTCTCTACTAAAAATACAAAAACTAGCTGGGTGTGCTGGCATGCGCCTGTAATCCCAGCTACTAGGGAGGCTGAGGTGGGAGAATCGCTTGAACCTGGGAGGTGGAGCTTGCAGTGAGCCGAGATCGCGCCACTGCACTCCAGCCTGGGCAACAAAGCCGGACTGTCTCAAAAAAAAAAAAAAAAAAAAAAAAAAAGAAAGAGAGAAAACCCAGCAGTGAGAGGTAGTTGTGAGAACACACTAAAGAGGAAAGATAATCCAGGGCTGGGAGTGGTGGCTCATGCCTGTAATTCCAGCACTTTGGGAGGCTGAGGCTGGCAGATCACAAGGTCAGGAGTTCGAGACCAGCCTGACCAACATGGTGAAACCCTGTGTCTACTAAAAATGCAAAAATTAGCTGGGTGTGGTGGTGGGTGCCTGTAATCCCAGCTACTCAGGAGGCTGAGGTGGGAGAATCGCTTGAACCCAGGAGACGGAGGTTGCAGTGAGCTGAGATTGCACCACTGCACTCCAGCATAGGCAACAAAGCCAGACTCTGCCAAAAACAAAAACAAAAACAAAAACAAAAACAAAAAACAAGAAAGCTCAGTGAGAGGTGGTTGTGAGAACACACTAAAGAGGAAAGATCATTCAGGGCTGGGAGTGGTGACTCACGCCTGTAATCCCAGCACTTTGGGGGGCCACAGGCGGGTGGATTACCTGAGGGCAGGAGTTCAAGACCAGTCTGGCCAACATGGTGAAACCTCGTCTCTACTAAAAATACAAAAACTAGCTGGGTGTGATGGCGGGTGCCTGTAATCCCAGCTACTTGAGAGGCTGAGTCAGGAGAATCTCTTGAACCCAGGAGGCAGAGGTTGCAGTGAGCTGGGATCGTGCCACTGTACTCTAGCCTGGGTAACAGAGCAAGGCTCTGTCTCAAAAAAATAAAAATTAGAAAGAAAAAAGGAGAAGGAGAAGAGGAAGGAGACAGAAAGGAGAGAAACATCCCTGAGGTGGAACATTACATGCAACATGGAGTAGGCAGGGAATCCGATAGAGCACTGAAACTCTCGCTGGGTACGGTGGCTAACATCTGTACTCCCAGCACTTTGGGTGGCCGAGGTGGATGGATCACCTGAGGTCAGGAGTTTAAGACCAGCCTGACCAACATGGTGAAACCCCATCTCTACTAAAAATACAAAAGGCTGGGTGTGGTGGCTCACGCCTGTAATCCCAACACTTTGGCAGTCTGATACAGGCGGATCACATGAGATCAGGAGTTTGAGACCAGCCTGGCCAAGATGGCAAAACCTCATCTCTACTAAAAATACAAACATTACCTGGCTGTGGTGGCAGTCGCCTGTAATCCCAGCTATGCAGGAGGCTGAGGCAGGAGAATCGCTTGAACCTGAGAGGTGGAGGTTGCAGTGAGTCAAGATCGTGCCATTGCACTCCAGCCTGGCCAATAGGAGCAAAACTCCATGTGAAAATAAAATAAAATAAAATAAAATATAATAAAATAAAATAATAAATCAAAAAAGGACTGGACATCTCCTGTGGGTTGTCAGTGAATGGAACTAAGCAAGCCACCGCTCTTTCCCTTTTGTCCCGCAAGTGTCTTTCTTGGCCTCCAGGAAGTGAGTTCCATCATGTCAGACCCTATGTTTGTTCCTGCTGGGTTCACTGAGGCTCCTCCCTTTCCACCTGTGGCTCCCCATGGGTTCCCAGTCCCCAGCCAGTGTTGTGAATCGAGCCAGGAAGACCAGCCCTATCACACCCCTCCTGATGGAATTCCCACAGTGTCATCCTGGAGAACAGGGGCTGGGGGCTGGGGTAGGATCAGAGACCTTTTCATGTGGGCCAGGCCCCTCCCTCCACAGGAGCTCTGACACGAAGCTCATCACCATTCATTTCACCCTGACGATATTCTTCCTGCCCAGACACCCCCGTTCTCCCTATGTCATCATGGGCACCTCAGTGAAATCCATGGTTGAGGGTCTCTGTCACTTACTCTGCCCTCTTCTTGGAAAATTTCCTTGGATCCTTCCAGAGCCCTTCCTGAGTGTGCTGCAGGGTCTCTGCCACATGACACACTCTCAGGAACCCTCATCCTCCCCTTAATCTACTGCGCCCACATAGCCAGGTGCAGGCTCCGTTTCTTCATCTTCCCTTCCCCACAGGCCCCGATGGAGAGTGGATTAGACTCGCTCCTGAGTAGGGACTCAGGTCACTCTGACCCCTTCCTCCCTGTGGACGAGGCCTCTGTCCCAGAGCTTTGGAGGCTGAAGGGCCTTGTGGATTCCCGCACTGGCCACAGTCTCCGATGCAGATGGGGAACTGGGGACCTGGGAGGGGTTGCCTAGCCCAAGGCCACATAGCTGGGCGGTGGCACAGCCTTCACTCACACAGGGACATTCCATCTTCCCAGGGACTTCACACTGGAGGCTAAGAGCCCCACTTTGCACACCACATTCAGGGGTAGATTCTGTGTGTGACTAACAAGTTCTCTTAGGGTTCCGAGGTAACAGGACAGCAAATGGATGAGTGAGAGTTTCCCTCACCCCACTGAAGTAGGACCATTCTCTGTGGAGGGTTGGTCCCCTGACTTCCTCTACTCTGTCATCTCCCTAGTGACTGATAGGGGTCCTGGGGTCTCTTCCCTGGAATCCCATGAGGGACAATTCCTTTCCTGAAGGGAAGGTATAGAGAGGACTAGCAGGTGCCTGGTGATGGAAAGTCCCCATAATCAAGAGACATTGCCTCCCCCCCCCGGCATGATAAATATCTGGGTTTCCAAATGGGAAATCTGTCTGTGATGAGAGCTCAGGAGGGGCTTCTGGAAGATGGAAAAGGGCTAGAGGCTGAGGCCACTGCTTATCTCCCCACACTGTATCTGGCTTCACCTCCTGTGTTTGTCCTGACCTCTTCCTTCACTCACCTGGATAAGTAGGACCCCAAAGTGGGCCTCCAGACAGGAAGCAGTGGAGAGTGTGGAGCTGCCCTGTCTACCACCCTACACCCTGACACCACTGTCATACTCAACCTCTCTTTTCCTCTTTGTGTTTCTCATTGCTTCATTTTGTCTGGAATCCCTAAGATTCCCATGTCTCCAGCAGGCTGTCCCTCAGACGTGGCTATATGATTTAGTGTTTCACAGGGCATGCAGCAGGCATGGGCTACCCCCAGTAACAGTGGTCATCTAGGGCTGATCACTCACAGGCAGAGCCATCGACAGAGAGCTGCAGCATCTAGAGGTCCCATCACCAGCCCCAAGACCCAGAGAGAAGTTGGCCTGAATGCCCCACTCTGTCTCTGCACCCCAGTGAGCCAGTGTCCAGGGGCCTTACCTTCCTCGTTAGAAGGCACAGGTCAAATGAGCTTCCAGAGCTGCAGAGCAAAGTCACATTCTCTCCATCATTACTTACTGCAGGGCACAGTTGAGCTGAGAAGGAAGGTCTCTTGTAGACGCCTGGGGAAAAAAATAGTCCTTGACTGTCGAGCACAAGCCTTACCCAGCCTATCCTCAGGGCATGAAAAAGGCATTCTCTCCACCTGTTCTGGGGAGCACACTCTGTTACCCACTCGTGCCTCTCTCCATCTCAGTTCTAGCTCTACAAGCTGGCTCATCATGTGTGTGTTTTCCTGTCTGTCTTTGCTCAGCTTTTCCTTGAATCTCTTGCTTTTTGCCGGTGCGTGTGTGGCTTTCTGCCCTTAGAACCATATGAGATTTAGGGTTCTCCTGGCACATAGAACTGTTTACTTTGAGGACCCTCAGAAAACATAGCCCTGGGCTAAGGCTCCCTGTCCTGGAACTAGAAGGTTATGGGTGTCACCATTTCCCAACAGCATGTCTGAAAGTGCCAGAATCTTCAAAGAGTCTGCAACATGTTTGTAGGATCTTTATAGGGTCTGATATTGCAGGGACCAACCAAAGTGCCCTCACACCCCAAGACGCTGGAAGTGACCCCTTGCTGAAAGTGGTTGGAAGTTTCACATAGAAGTTTGAGTTAAGCCACATTGCTGAGCAATGCCTCAGCATCCCAGTCTTCATCCAGACCTTCCAGGAGCCTGGCTGGAGGGGGTGTCTCTGGTGTGTCACTGAGCCTTATAGCAGAGGAAGGGGGCTATGGTGGAAACTACCTCCAAGATACCACTCAGTCCTAAGCTGGGGAACAAGCTGAGCTTGGATTCTGGTAGTGAATGAACCGGGAAACATTTATTTGAAGGGTTCTAAGAGTAGCATCGTGTGGGTGCGTTAATTGTATGTGAAGGGGAAGATCCTGAGAAAACAAGAGCTGCTCCACTCTGTGCCTGGGTTTACCAGAGGGACCGATGAGGTCCTCACAAGACCCAGGAATCCCACCGGGGGAAGGAGGCTTAGGGAGATGTGTTTAAGACTGTTAAGTGAGTCACAGACAGAAGCAGATCAAGCCATCCCACCACCTAGGTTTGTGGTTTTGTTTCTCCTAAACTTCCTTTCTGTAAGTAGCAGAACCTTCTCATCACCATCCTTCAAAACCTCTGCATTGTTTGAGCTCCTTGTATTTTCTGGAGATTAATCTCTTGCTTGCAAATATTCTTTCCCATTCTGTAGGTGGTCTCTTCACTCTGCTGTTTGTTTCCTTGATTGTGCAGAAGGTTTGCAGTTTGCTATGATCTCATTTGCCTATTTTTGCTTTTGCTGCCTGAGCTTTTGAGGGTTTTTTTTTTTTGTTTTTTTTTTTGAGACGGAGTCTCGCTCTGTCACCCAGGCTGGAGTTCAGTGGCATGATCTCAGCTCATTGCAACCTCCGCCTCCCGGGTTCAAGTGATTCTCCTGCCTCAGCCTCCCTAGTAGCTAGGACTACAGGCGAGTGCCACCACACCCGGCTAATTTTTGTATTTTTAGTAGAGGCAGGGTTTCACCACGTTTGGCCAGGCTGGTCTCAAACTCCTGACTTCAAGTGATCCACCCACCTTGGCCTCCCAAAGTGCTGGGATTACAGGCGTGAGCCACTGCGCCCGGCGTTGTATTGGATTTTTAATTCAGCCCTATTTTCTCCGACATTTGATATTGGCATTTTTGTCTTTTTTGGATATGCTAGGATCATGGTGTCATAATTTAATTTTAATTTTTATTTTTATTTTAAGTTCCGGGGTACATGTGCAGAATGTGTGGGCTTATTGCATAGGTCAATGTGCGCCATGGTGGTTTCCTGCACCTGTCAACCCATCACCTAGGTATTAAGCCCAGCATACATTAGCTATTTTTCCTAATGCTCTCCCTACCCCTACCCCACCCCCCCCCCGACAGGCCCCAGTGTGTGTTGTTCCCCTCCCTGTGTTCACGCATTCTCATTGTTCAGCACCCACTTGTAAGTGAGAACATGCAGCGTTTGATTTCCTGTTCCTGTGTTAGTTTCCTGAGGATAATGGTTTCCAGCTCCATCCATGTCCCTGCAAAGGACATGATCTTGTTTCTTTTTATGGCTTCATAGTATTCCGTGGTGTATATGTCTCACATTTTCTTTATCCAGTCTATCATTGATGGGCATTTGGGTTGATTCTATGTCTTTGCTATTGTGAATAGTGCTGCGATGAACACATGTGTGCATGTATCTTTGCAATAGAATGATTTATATTCCTTTGGGTATACGCGCAGTAATGGGACTGCTTTTACCTGTGCCAAAATACTGAAGTAGAAATGATTATTCACTCTAAAATGGAAGGTAATAAGATGTATACGTGAGCTATCAGATGCCTGGTGCTTATGAGTGAAGACAAGTCTGTCCAACGCTTCCCAACCCTGCATTCAGGGATGTCTCGTTGGCATCTTGATTATGGCCATGAAAAAAGAATTTACGTCAAGGAAATTGGTAAATGCCACTAATCATAGCATTTCAAAAAATGTCTTTTTCAGAATTAGCATACCATTGGGTCGTGACTTCAAATGCCAGTGTGTTGATTCCAGGTGGTGATATTTCAGGAGAAACTACACAGATAGCATCTGATAAGGAGGGAAGAGCTCATAGGGTCCACACAGGAGGTGAGGGCATCACGGTGCATTTATCTTTTCCTGGTCGGACTCTGATCTTCTCCCGTTGAATTAGTTCCTAAACCAGGTGCGGAACTCTGAACTGAAGACATGAAGACCCAGTAAAGTACACCAGGAAGTGTGGCAATGAGAAATGAAGAGGACTGTGTGACACGCCATGGACCAGAGCATGCAGGTGTGCAGAGGTGTGGACCCAACGCTGCCATGTGGGATGGAGCCTCATGTCTAAGTGTGGGAAAAGAGGCAGATCCAACCAAGGAAAGTCAACATTAATGGAGAGGAAAGGTATCACATTTTAATGGTTCTCCATGGATCACCCCAGAAAATGTCCCTGCACTCGGACATTGATTCCTTCCTCTGGAAATGACCAGCAGACAGTCCAGATAGCATCGGCCCTAGATTTTCTTCCAGAACCTCCTGGGATCATCAGATCTGTTCCTGAGGCTTCACGACTCTATAAAGTACATTATCCTCTCTGCTGTTCACCTCCCGGCTGCATCTTGGGAAGCTTCTCTGGCTGTGCCAAGCCTCAAATGACAGAATCCCGAGGACCACCAGGATCAAGCCAGCCACGCCCATGTGGATGAGATTCTCCACTGCGTAATCCTGAAGGTGTGAGGCTGGGGATGGTGGACAAAGAGGTCACAGAGGTCAGGGTGGATCAGATTGTCCACCCAGGGCACCCACCTCCCCTTCACAGGACCCAACCCTCAGTGCCAGCCCCATCACTGAGAGTATCTCCTCACATACCAGTCTCAGAGTCAGACTTGTTTTGTGATGGGCTGAGGGTATCAGCTGCTCCAGAGAATCAAAACAGAGAAAAAGAGACCTGAGCCCAGCCTCTCACCTGGGCTCTGCAATTTTTTTTTTATTACTTAATGTCTCATGATGTGACTTTTACAGAATTTCTAAAAAAAAAAAAAAAAAACCTCTTCCTCCGCTAGCAGGATTCCCTCTAGTCTCCTCATTGAACGATTTCAGTTTTCCTGTGTTCTATGGATTTAAACATTGCTCCTGAGTCATCTGGGAGAGAGTTTTCCTGCATCCTGAGAGCTCAGGATCTGCAAGGAAAGTGGTCCCCAGTACAGAGGTCACTAAGGCCTGTGTGCTCTCTGTGCAGCCTGGGACACAGGAGAACATGAGCCAACTCCCCCGGAGATGAGAGTTTCACGGATCCACCAGCTGAGGACCCAGGCTCCGTGGATGAGGGTTAGTCATCAGGGGAGCCTCAATGTCAGAAGCACAAAGGGGTGAAATTCTGGGGCTGCCTCCCCTTCATGCCCTCAGCCACTTCACCTGGAGTTTCATTGTCCATTTAATCTCTAGGTAGCTAATTATTCGTATAGGCAGCAACAGGTAGAATGTGATACACACACAGAAAAACACAAACACAAATATATATCTGTTTTATATATATAGTGGGCCTTAAAAACTATCTCTGCCTTCTTGAAGTGTGGGTTCACCTGGAGACAAACAGCAAACATATAGAAACACAGCAGTGGAAATTTACTAGTCGTAGCAATGGTTTTAGATATATTGGTAGAGACCTATATTTATGTGTGAATATATATTATTTGTATAGATATACGGATAACTAGGTTTCAATGTCACGTAAGATGTTGGTGTGACCACACACGCGCACACACACACACACACGTATATGCAGAGAGTGGAAGAGAGAGAGAAGGAATTCAGCCGCATGGTGTAGGTTGGTTAATTACTTGACATAAATGAGAAGCAGGCAGGACTGGGCTGAGCTGTGTCGTCAGTGAAGGTCACACTTGGAGGTGACATTGAAGCTGATTCCTCAATAGGAAAAAGGGCCAGGAAGGAGGCGTGTGGAGACCCAGACAGGGAGCAACAGAGGCTCCAGAAAGAGCAGGTCCCAGAAAGGTCTCAGCCTGTTCTTCAGAAAGGAATGGCCGCTTGTCTACAGGGTGGAGGAGGAGGCAGAGGAGGAGGGGAGATGAGCTTCGGGGCCTTGGTGGATTGAGAATAGGCCAGGATGAACCGGCCAGGAAAGAGCGGCCCCAATATCTCTCTCTCTGTCTCTCTGTCTCTGTCTCTGCCTCTCTCTCCCTCCCTCTGAGGTCTGGAAAGTGCTGTAGGGTTTCAAGGAGTGGTACCAGTCATTTGACTTTTTCTGAAAAGATAAGCCCTACCCCCTCCATAGCAAATGTCCAGAACGAAGGAAGTCCACATTTCTACCTGAAGTTTACAAAACCTCAGGGAGCACGTGAGATCAGGGCTATTACGAAACCGGGTGAGAATAAAAATAGGTGATGCTGCAAATCTACTTTCACCAGCTTGGACAAAAAGGCCAATATGAGATTTTAAAAACCCAAATAAAAAATGTCAACGGCGCAGAAGAGGAGCGGTGCACATTCCCTGAGCTGCTGCGGGAGCACGTGCAAGTCCCTGTGAGGCTCAGGTGTGCGCTGAGTGCTGGGGAGGCTGCAGGGGAAAGCAGGAAGTGGGGCGGGGTGGGGGGGGGTCGGGGGTGGATGCAGGTGGCACCGGCAGCCTGGATGCTTCTCTCTCCAGGAGGGCGTCTGTTGGGGACTGGGACACAGAGGCTCTGATTCTGAGGTGGAGACACCAGGATGGGAGCAGGTGGGGCCTCCGTCTTCCACCCTCAGTCTAATCTCAACTCCTTTGAGGTTCACCCCCCGTCTCCTCCCAGCCCTCCCTGCACTTTACTCTACTGAGACTTCAGGGGTGGGAGCCAGGGGTGGGAGGTCCCTGTCTATTTCCATCTTCCCATGGGCTGGACCCTCCCCTGCGGACCCTCTCCCTTCACTCCCCTCTTTCCTTAGTGTCCAGAGCTCTGCTGGGGGCAGGGCCTGAGCTGAGCCTTTGAGCTCAGAGAGGACAGGGTCAGCGCCCTCACCTGAGACCACGAGCTCCACGGGGCCACTGGGGTGAGACAGCAGGTAGGGGTCGGAGCTGAGTGAGCCGTAGCACCTGTAGGTCCCCGTGTGGGCTGAGGTCACAGGACTCATGGGGAATTC